>NC_000014.9:77187470-77338985 GCF_000001405.40 Homo sapiens
AAGGAAGGGGACTCGGCAAGGCCAGGCCCAGGCTCCACACTCCATGGAGGGGCTTCTTGGGGCCCTGGCCCAGGCACATACATGCAGCTTGTGCTGCACGGAGCAGCCAGGGAGGAAGGGACAGGAAGCCCCTGGCCTGGGTCACAGAGCTGCCAAGTGGAGGAGCAGAAGGAGCCCCAGTCCCAGCACCCTCCTGTGTGGCTGGGGAGAGAACCCAGACCATCGCAGCCCTGATCTGTTCCCAGAGACAGAGGAAGGGAAGTGAGTGGGAAGAGCAGGCTTTCTGACCCAGCCCTATCCCAGGGCCTGGTGTCCCCGTGACTCTGCCTGCTTCCCCTGGGAGTTACCTTTGAACCCAGCTCTGACCCAGAGCCTGCCATTGAAGGCTCATCTTGGAGTAAGCCCAACCCATCTTCTCCAGTGAGGCTCCCTTCCCACATGCTCTGTTCCCACTCAGGGGTTATTTGTGTGTGGGGCGGGGGGATGTGTCAGATGCCCTTGAAGTTTTTGCAAAATACACATGCCTGGCTTTTCTGCCCCATCTCACCCCAGCTCGGCTAAGAACCATTGCTCTGGCAAATCAAACGTGCCCTGGACTGTCTGAGCCACTGCCTCTCCCCATCCCAGTCCTGGTCCTTATCCCTATCCTCATCTGTTCATCTTCCTGTCCGTCAAAGCCCAATTCAAATGCTACCTCCTTGATGAAGCCCTCCCTGGATCTCAGCCAGATGAGATCTTAACAGCCTTGAATGCCCTTAACACTTTGAGTCTATCTCTTCTGCTAGAAAGGACTTCATCCTTTCACTTTTCAAGTGTTCTTTGAGTGCCAGTCACACACAGGTCCTCCAGTAGTTCATGGGGAATGGTGTGGGTAAACAAGGAAATGGCTTAATGACAATAGCTTGAGAAAAATAATAACATTCTGTGAAAATAGCAATACAAAGCTCCATGAGACATTCTGGCAAGAATGCTAGTAAAGCCAAATGTGTATATGCTTTATGACCAACGATTTCACATCTAGGTATACATTACCTAGAGAAACTCACACATGTGCATAAGGAAACAGCTCCAAGGGTATCTAGGGCAGCAATGCTTGAAATGCAAAAAAGAGGTCTTGGCTGGACTCTGTGGCTCACGCCTGTAATCCCAGCACTTTGGAGGCCCAGGTGGGAGGATTGCTTGAGCCCAGGAGTTTAAGACCAGCCTGGGCAACATAGCAAGACCCTGTATCTACTAAGAAAAAAAAATAGCCAAGTGGGGTGGTGTGTACCTGTAGACCCAGCTACTTGGGAGGCTGAGGTGGGAGAATTGCTTGAGCCCAGGAGTTTGAGGTTTCAGTGAGCTATGATTGTGCCACTGCACTATAGCCTGGGCAACCAAACAGAAAAAAAAAGACAGACCTCAACCTCAATATCTGCAAGAATAGAATAATGAATAAAACTATGATACTGTGCAGCAGTTAAACTATGTGTAACTGGGGAGTTTTATTTTTTATAAATTATACCTTAGCAAAGTTGATATATGTGTACATACACATATGGATACATCCTGTATTAACATGAATAAATTTCAAAAACAATGTTGCAAAAAAAGGAAATTGCAAAATAATACCATTAAGTGAAACTTTAATTTTCTTTTTCTTTTTCTTTTTTTTTTTGAGACAGGGTCTTGCTTTGTTGCCCAGGCTAGAGTGGAGTGGTGCGATCTTGACTCATTGCTGCCTTCACTTTTCAGGCTCAAGCGATCATTCCACCTCAGCCTCCTGAGTAGCTGGGACTACAGATGCACACCACCACACCCAGCTAATTTTTTTTTTTTTGCATTTTTTGTAGAGATGGGGTTTTGCTATGTTTCCCAACCTGGTCACAAATTCCTGGGCTCAAGTGATCCACCCATGTGGGCCTCCAAACGTGCTGGGATTACAGGTGTGAGCTACTGTGCCTGGCTGAAAATTTAATTTTCGCAAAAAACACAAAACTGTACTAGCTATGATTTATGGATTTACTAATTTCTGTTGCAATGCCTACCAAGATCATGTGTGTAGTGCCTTGGAGAGAGTAAGAGCTGAGACTGAAAGGGGAAAAGGAAGGACTTCTAACTTGTCAGTAACACTTCATTTAACAAAGAACAGCTGAAGCAAAAATGACGGAATGTTTACATTTGTTAATTCAGTTGGTTTAAATGAATTGTTCAAAGTTGAAGAAAAGTAATCTGAGATGTCTATGGAAAGGTGCTGACATCTCCCTGGGGAGTCAGGAAAGGGTCCAAGAGGAGGTGACAGCTGGGTGTGAAGGACTCAGGGAACTGGCAGGTTTCACTGGGGTGGGGGAGTTGGGAAAAGCAGCCGTGGGTGCTTAAAGCCAGGGAATACCTGTGCCGGCTCTTTGCACGTCTGAAATGTTTGTTGACTGACTTTGTATCAAGCTGTCCCTCTGCTGCCCTCTCATCCCCTTCTCTGATTTCAGCTGTTCTATTTCTGAGTTGTGTACATAGTAAATAGGGTCCTGGGGGGAAAATCATGTGTCATTTTATGATTTTTTAGAGATGAGATAATCTAATAGGGGTTAGGAGAGGATTAGAGGCAAATATACAAAATTGAACATTAAAATGGGGAAATAGTCACTGATACAGAGAAAATAGAATTATGATTATTATTATTATTATTATTGGTACTGTGTTTGGCCATATGTAAATCCAGTTGAAAACTAGCTGAAACTGATGATTTTTTGGGAAAATGTAAATCATCAGTTTGACATCAGGAGAGGTAGAAAGTCCCAACAGACCAATAATCACTGAAGAAACTGAGTTTTCATAAAATTCTCCTCCAAAAAAACTAAGGTTCAGATCACTTCTAGTTTCTATCAAACCTCCAAGGCACAGATAATGCCAATGTTATTTAAACTGCACCAACTACACCAAATCACAGAGAAAGAGAGATTCTAAATTATTCTATGAAGCACGAACAACATGGATACCAAACCTTGACAAAGATAGCACAAAAAGAGAAAAATAACTAAAAAATCTTATGAATAGTGGTGCAAAATTCATAAATAGCAATAAATGGACTCACAGCATTATGTTACAAAAATGAACATACCACAAGCAAGTGGGGCTGTATTCCAGAAATATAAATTCCATAGTAGAAAAACTATTAATGTAATTGAACAAACTAATAGCTCAAAAGAAATAAAAAATCATACAAGGAACTTCATAAGTGCTAAAAATGTCTAAAATGCATTTGATAAAATTCAACATGTCTCTGATTTTAACTCTTACTTCATAGGAATAGATGGATATTGCTTAACATGATTTTGTGTATGCCTATGTGTGCTTGTGTGTGTATTCAGACATAAACACACACAAGGAAAGAATAATCATGACTGTAATTCTTTAATACCACTCTAGAGGTACAAGCCAACACAAATTTTGGAAATGTAAGTTATAAAAGTGCTAAATTTATCAAAATTGTAGACGGTAAGATTGCCAACCTGGAGAAAAAAGAACAAGATTGTCAACTGAAAAAAAATTAGAAATAATAAAAGAATATACCAACATGATTGGTAATAACTATTAGAAGCAAAAATATATAGCTTGTTTGTATATAAACAGACTTTAACCTTTTAAATATAATGGAAGAAATTGAAAATATCAGTAAAAGGGCTAAAATAACCAGTACTAAGTCTAACCAGAGGTGGCAGGAGCAGCTCTTAAGACTACTTCATTCTTGATTCCCTGGCACTTGGAATAGGGCCTGACACATAGTAGTAGATATTTGTCAAATGATGGAACGGCTTCACAGACTGATAAACAAAGCACACCTAATATGCAATAATAATAGTAGTAAACACCACCATATAGTAGTTCCTCTGTGTGGCCACTGTCCTATTCTTTACCTGTAGCCTAAGGTGTGAGCTATCCTGGAGAATGTTCCGTATGTGCTTGAGATAATGTATATTCTGCTGCTGTTTGGAGGAGTTTTTGCATATGTCTATTAGGTACAATTGGTCTATAGTGTTGCTCAAGTTCTCCATTTTTTTTTTCTTTTCTTTCTTTTCTTTTTTCTTTTTCTTTTTTTTTTTTTTTTTTTTTTTGAGACAGAGTTTCGCTCTTATTGCCCAGGCTGGAGTGCAATGGTGCAATCTCGGCTCACCACAACCTCCACCTCCTAGATTCAAGCATTTCTCCTGCCTCAGCCTCCCAAGTAGCTGGGATCACAGGCATGCGCCACCAAGCCTGGCTAATTTTGCATTTTTAGTAGAGATGGGATTTCTCCATGTTGGTCAGGCTGGTCTCGAACTCCCGACCTCAGGTGATCCGCCTGCCTCGGCCTCCCAAAGTGCCGGGATTACAGGCATGAGCCACCAAGCCTGGCCTAGTTCTCCATTTTCTTAGTGATATTCTGTCTGGTTGTTCTATCCATTATTGAAAGGAGTACTGAAATCTCCAATTATTATTGTGGTGTGGTCTATTTCTCCCTTCAGTTTTGTCAATATTTCTTCATATATTTGGGTGCTCTGCTGTTAGGTGCATATGTATTTATAGTTGTTATATCTTCCTGGTGAATTAACTCTTTATCATTATGTAATAGCCTCCTTTGTCTTTTGTGGCAGCTTTTGACTGATATAAATACGGCCATCCTTGCTCTCTTTTGGTTACCATTTGCATGGAATGACTTTTTCCATCCTTTCACTTTCCACCTATGTGAGCCTTTACATCTAAGGTTCAGCCTCTTGTGGGTAGCATAGATTAGTTGCATCTTTCTACACCCTTTACCTGTAATAACTCATTTAATCCTCACAATAACTCCATGCAGATGGCGTTACTGTTACCTCCATTTTTAGATGAGGAACCTGAGGCACAGAAAGGGTAGGCAACTTATCCTAGGTCCAGTAGAGTGGAAATTTGAACCAAGCACTTCACTCTGAGTTTATGCTCTTTGTATCCATCCTCCTACATAGTCAAATCGGAATTTTGAATTTAGAGGGAGGATTGTTGGGTAGGGGAGCAGGAAATGGATTATTCAAACATGACTTTAGGACAACTGTGTAGCCCTTTGAAAAAAATAATAAAGTTGGGCCCTACCACAATCCCTACATCAAAATAAATTCTAGAGGGGGCAAAGATATTTTAAAAAGAAAGAAGAAAGCCAGGGGTGGTGGTGCGTGCCTGTAGTTGCAGCTACTCGGGAGGCTGAGGCAGGAGAGTCACTTGAGCCCAGGAGTTCAAGGCTGCAGTGAGCTATGATTGTGTCACATAAGTACTCCAGCCTGGGCAACAGAGTGAGACCCTGCTTCAAGAAAGAATAAGACAAAGACGAAGGAGGAGGAGGAGGAAGAGGAAGAAGAAAAAGAAGAAGAGGAAGAAGAAGAAGAGGAGGAGGAGGAAGGAGAAGAAGAACAACAACAACAGGAGGAAGGAGAAGAAGAAAAGGAGGAAGAAACCTTTAAGAATACAAGTTGAAAATATGGGCAAATACTTTCATGATTCTCAAATGGGAAAGGCTTTTTAAGCAAGTCCAAAGGATGCCATAAATAAACTCAAAAAGAGATGAATGACAATTTGCAATACACATGACAAGAAGTAAGTTGCCTTAATTTAGAAAAACTTCTTTAAAAATCAATAAGAAATTAGAAAGGATGGACACAGACAAGTCACAGAAAAATAAGTGCAAAGGCCATTCAGTCAATAAACATGAAAATACGTCTGTCTTTTTTGACAACCGAATTACAAATTGAAACAAGATACCATTTTTAAACTCACTGTAAAAATCCAACAATCTGATAATGCACACTTGTGAGGGTATGAGTTGCTGGGGCAGAGCAAACTGGTTCACCCTCATTGGAGGACAATTTGGCAAAATGTTAGGTTCACATAAGTTTTGACCCAGGGATATCCTCTAGCTGGCCTCATATATGTGCACAAAGATATAAAGTCAAAGATGTAGGCTGGGCACGGTGGCTCATGGTTGTAATCCCAGCACTTTGGGAGGCTAAGGCAGGCGCATCACCTGAGCCCAGGAGTTTGAGACCAGCCTAGGCAACAAAGTGAGACTTCATCTCTACAAAAATTAAAAAAAAATTTAGGCCTGGTGAGGTGGCTCACGCCTGTAATCCCAGCACTTTGGGAGGTCGAGGCGGGCGGATCACCTGAGGTTGGGAGTTTGAGAGCAGCCTGACCAACATGGAGAAACCCCGTCTCTGTTAAAAATACAAAATTAGCCGGGTGTGGTGACGCATGCCTGTAATCCCAGCTACTCGGGAGGCTGAGGCAGGAGAATGGCTTGAACCCGGGAGGCAGAAGTTGCAGTAAGCAGAGATTGCGCCACTGCACTCCAGCCTGAGCAACAAGAGCGAAACTCCGTCTCAAAAAAAAAAAAAAAATTAGCCGGGCATGGTAGTGGGCACCCGTGGTTCCAGCTACTTGAGAGATGGAGGTGGAAAGATCACTTGAGCCCAGGAAGTTGAGGCTACTGTGAGCTGGGATCGTACCACTGCACTCCAGCCTGGGCAACAGAGTATGACGCTGTCTCAAAACAAATAAACAAGAAAAAACAAAGATATTCATTACAGAGTATGATGCTGTCTCAAAACAAACAAACAAGAAAAAACAAAGATGTTGATTACAGCTTTGCTTGTGCAGCAAAAAATGTAGAAATAACCTAAATATCAATCAACAAGGACAGATTCACAGAAAGTGTAGTGCATCGGTTCAGTGGAACACTATGAGCTATGAAAAGAATGGAGGGATCTGTCTGTGCTGGTATGCAGAGATGTGTGATGTATGTTAATTAGCAAAGCAAATATAAGTACTGGGAATATGTTCCTGGTTGGGTTTAAAATAAAGATGCAGGCATAGATATATATATATGTGTGTGTGTGTGTGTGTGTGTGTGTGTGTGTGTGTGTGTGTGTGTATGTTCATATTTCTGAAAAAAATTCTCGAGGAAAATTTAGGAAATGATACTTATGTTGGAGAGTGGGGCATAGATCTGAGATGGCAGGGACATCCATGCCATATTTCTTTTTTCTTTCTTTCTTTCTTTCTTTCTTTCTTTCTTTCTTTCTTTCTTTCTTTCTTTCTTTCTCTTTCTTTCTTTCTGTCTTTCTTTCTTCCTTTTTTTGGAGACAGGGTCTTGCTCTGTCACACACGCTGGAGCGCAGTGGCACTATCATGACTCACTGAAGCCTCAACCTGCTGGGTTTAAGTAATTCTCCCACCTCAGCTTCCCGAGTAGCTGGGACTACAGGCGGACACCACCACATCCAGCTAATTTTTTTTTTTTTGTACTTTTTGTGGAACCGGGTTTTTGCCATGTTGCCGAAGCTGGTCTCTAACTTGTGGGCTCAAGTGAACCTCCCACCTCGGCCTCCCAAAGTGCTAGGATTACAGGTGTGAGCCACCATGCCTAGCGTGGATTTCGTTTTCATTGTGTATTATTTTGAATGGTTTGATTTTTTTCCCCCTAAGCATGTTATTTTCAGAATTTAAAGAGCATATTTAAAGCTGGGCATGGTTGCATGTGCCTGTAATCTTAACTATCTAGGAGGCGGAGGCGAGAGGATCAATTGAGCCCAGGCATTGGAGACCAGTCTTGGCAACATAGTGAGACCCCATCTCAAAAAAACAAAACAAACAAGAATATTTAAGAAGAAACAAATTATAAAGGGGAGAATACCAGTTAAAATGCCTCACCCTGAACTTTGTTTTTAAATTCGTTTCTCAGTGGGTTCACCTCTCCTTGCATTCACAATTTCAGATGTGGGCGGGCCCAAGAGTTCACCGCCAATCTTTATTTTATCCATGAGGAAAATGAGAGCTAGAGAGGATTGAGCAAGCTGCCGGGGCTCCCTGGCTAGCTGGCTGCAGAGACTGGGCTCCTGTGATGCTGCTTTCAGGAAAGGGACCGATGATCCCTTTATGTGGATTATAAAATCATCCTTGGACTTTTCTGCCCTTTCCCAGTGTGTCATCTACTGAGTCTTACTTCATGGGCACCCATGTGGGGAACTTGTTAAAATGCAGGTTCCCAAACACCCTCCTGGAGATTCAAGTTCAGTGGGTCAAGGTAGCGCCCTTCCACCTGCATTTTAGCAAACCCTCCCCTCCTCCTGCAGATGATTCTGAAGTGGGTGATGTGTATGACCCCTTTGACCTCCCCCAGCTCAACCCTGCTGGCATTGTCTGTGCATCTAGGCTGAACACCCCCACAGCAGCAAGGGAAGGTGGGGTGCTCCAGCTCAGCAGGGGAAGTGACAGAGCTGGTGCCTGGACTCCCAGTGCCGTGCTGTCTCCATGGCCCGCTCCCCACAGCTGCTGCTCAGCTGGGTTGAATGGTAGCTCCCAGCTCACCTACCTCAGGGGTGGGCACTGGCTGGCCTGGATTTGGAGCTGGGGCAGGCTGGGGGTCATGGATGCTTCCGGAGTACCCCTCACCCCATCACAGCTCCCCAAGGCAGGCCTTGTGGTAGATACTGACAAGCACGTTGGAGTTGGGAGGGGCTTGGCCAGCCTGGGCTTGGGAAGGAGCTGCAAGGAGGCCAGGGAGGACTGGGATGCATGCCCGCCTGCACTGAGAGGGTTCTGTTGTCCCTGTGCTATAGAGCCTTGGAGGAGCCTCCCTCGGGGTCAGGAATCGAGCGGGGACACCGCTGGGCCACTCAGAAGGACCGTTTCCTGGGGACTGATCAAGAGGAGGGAAGGTCCTATTACAGCCCAGAGGCCACGTGGGGCCTGAGCCCCAAACCTCAGCTGCTGTTCCAGGTAGGTGCCCCGGCATCATCCCATCACCCATCAGGGCTAAGCCCTAGTGCCAGCTCCCCACTTTGAGCCTGGGAAATGTGGCCATCCTGGCCGCCCATGGCCTGCAGCTCTCTAGCCAGCACTTGGGCAAAGACCCTCCCTAAGCCCTCCCAAACCCACAACCTGCCAGGAAAGGGGCAGAACGGCCTAACCCCATTCTGAAGGGCGCTGTCCCAGGTGACCCTGCCCATGAGGCCTGGGAAGGGGCAGAAGATGCTCTGGTTTTGGTTAGGATGTCCTCTGTCCCCTGGAAATTCCCCCGGGGCTGAGCTGCTAGCTGGGCCTCCTGGTGGTTCTTTGCCCAGCTGACTCTGGTTTGGGGCAAGCCTAGAATCCGGCCAGATGTGGCTCTTCCAAGAGTTCCCTAACTCTTGACACTTTATCCTCTAGGAAAGGATTAAGACAGATGGTATCTTCATAGACTGCTAGAGCTAGGGATCTTAGAGGCAGAATCCAACCGCAATCTCTTTTTACTTCTCAAGTATTACTTGTATCAATAGTGTAGTTTCCAATGTTGTGGTTGAACATCTCAGAGGAATCAGGTGTAATCTTGTCAAAACAGCGCGGGAAGCCCTTTGGCTTCAGACAGCCCTTCCTGGGCTCAGTGGCCTCCCCTTGCCCCTCAGCCCAGCCTGTGCCCCACGCTCCTCTTCCTCTCCTTCCACCTTCCCAGTTACCTCCAGCAACTCCTCCCCACTTTGCAAAAGGAACATTGACAGTGACTGGACATCCCAAGCTAGAAGGTATTGAAGCTAGGTTAGCATCTAAGTGAGGCTTTCTTCCCTATTTAAGTAAGTAAATACATTAATAAATAAATCTTTGAGGAAGGATTAGAGAGTCCAGGAAGCTTTCCAGAGGAAGCTCTAACTGTGTTAAGATTTCTCTATTTGAGAGTGTCTCAAATCTCTCTTACATGAAAGAAGATACTATCCTGCATGGGGTGTTGGCCAAGAGCATCGTGATTGTTGCTGTTACTGATAAAAATAATCTTAGATATGGTTCTTTATGTCCCCTTTATAATTTCCTGGTCCTTTCTTGGGAGAGCCCTCCAGGGCAGGGAGCCTTAGCCACAGGCAGTGTTTCACTTCTGTTCCTCTGGCCATTCCCAGGGCCCCAGCCCTACGCCAGACTCTTGTTCAAGATTATTAGAAGAGGCAGCAGTGGAGCCAGATGGGTTCACAACCCAGCTCAACCACCTACTGGCCTTGTTATCTCTATGAACTTCTGTCTCTTCATCTGTAAAATGGGGTTAACAATAGTACCCTAGGGTGAAGATTAACTACGGTAATATCTGTAAAGTACTTGAAACAACATCTAGCACCCAGTAAGTGCTTAACACATTAGATCCGATCACTGCAAAAGTCTGTTCTCTCCCAGCCATAGTCTGCTGCCTGATCAACCTCCCTAAGACACAGTGCAGTCATCCAATTCCCTGGCTCTACAACCAACCATGACTCCCCATTGTCTAGTTAATGACTGTGCCCTAACTTCACTTTAAGGGCTTGAAGGCAGAGAAGAATATCATTTGCCTTGCATGTAGTAAGGAATCAGTAATGTTTGTTGGGAGAGGGTTTCCGCTCTCAGAGTGGGTGAACTGAGTCCCTAAGGAATGGAAGTGCAGTCACCTACAGCCCACATCTGGGGGTTTGATCCAAGCTCTTCTGCCTCCCCAGCCATAGCCTGGCCAGGAGCGGACCTGGATCTGGGGCCCTGCATCCGCACACAAGGCTAGGGTTGGTTTCCCTTGGATCCACTGGGCCTGCAAATGCAGTGAGCCCTATTTTGAGCTCCAGCCTTGGTCCACATCAGAGTCAAGAGAGGACACTTGGCCATTGCCCAGACAGGCAGTGACCGCAGTTATAATGTGTACTCTGATGAGTTCAGGCCAGGCAGCAGACGTGACGTCATGGTCCTCATTCATCATGGGGCTGTGGCCAAAACCTTGGCTCCCATGGCTCAGGTGGGAAGCCTGAGGCCAGCAGAGACTACCCATGATCTGGCATCTTGGGACAGAGAACTCAGCTAGCTCCATCCTGCATCTCAGCCCCTCTGGCGGAAGAGAGGCCACACACTGTGGAGGAACAAGCCCTGGGCTGGGGCAGGACAGAACAGCATTTGAGACCAGCCTCCTTATCTGGTGGAGAGACCTTGGCCACATCAATGAACTTCTGTATTTTCCCGTCTGTGAAATGCGGAGGATAACACCTGCTTCGTAGAGTCAGGGTGAGGGCAAAATGGAGCAAAATGCCCAGAGCCACTGCACGCATGGAGAGGGCACTTGGGAATTTGCCGCGATTCTGATCAGACCATCAAAGTTGTTCTCCAGGCTGCCAAGTGGAGCTGTTTCAGTCCTGCAAACTTCTAGCTTTCCTTAGGTGGGGAAATTGTCCTCGCCTGGCCTCCGCTCTGAGATACAGGAAAATAGTGGTGGTTTTTGGCAGGAGCAGGAAACAGTTCAAATGTTTCCTGGCAAGGATGGGAAGTGCAGGAGGGAAGCAGCGCAGCTCTGCTTGGTTTTCTCAGAGATTTTTCCACTTGGAGGCTCGGTGCTGCCAAGCCCAGGAAGCCAGCAGTAAAGGGACAGGGAGGGGGCAAACCAGAGCATGCTGGTTCCCGCAAGGTGGTATTTTTCTCTTTATCCACTTGAAGAATGAATGAATCTGTTGAGATTCCAGACACTGGACTAGGCAGCAGCAAGTAAAACAAACATGACCCTGCTCTCAGGGGGCTTTCATTCAAATGGGGCAGATAATGAACAGCATATTATGGATGATGTATGTTAGAAGGAGATAAATGCAATGGGGGAAATAAAAAACACAGAGAAAGAAAGGGAGGGCAATCAGGGGTGCCGGAGGAGCTGCGTTATTAAGAAGAATGGTCAGGACAGACCTCACTGGAAAGGCAACATTTGAGACACACAGATTGTTTGCTCCCCTTGGGGATTCCTGAGAGGCCCGGGGGCTCAGAATCAAGGCCAAATGCCTTTCATGAGATTCTAGGATAGGAGCAAAATCTAGAAGCTCTTCTAGTCCCAGCCCAGATAATGCCATGCCCTTCCTCCAAGACCTTCAATAGCTCCGCACTGCCTACACAGTCAAGTGCAAATCATTCAGCCGAGATTCAGGGCCTCATGATCTGGTCCCAACTTGCCTGTTATCTCACCAGACCCTTCTCATCCCACCTCTTCAGCCAAGCTAGTCTGCCTGCCATTTCCAGAACAGTCCACTCTCTGTTTCCCTCTTCCTCTCATTTGTCCCTCTGCCTGGACTATCCTTGTTCCCACTGGTTTCTGTCAGTATGGAAATCTCGCCCAGTCTCCAAATGCCACCTCTCCGAGGCCTTCCTTGACCCCCCGGGCTGTGGTCTCTGAGCCCCACAGCTTGGCTTGTTCCCTTCTCAGTGTGCGGCTCTTACTCTGCCTTGGGTGTAGGCACCGGTTTTCCTGTCTTGTGTCTCCACCTGGCTGGAAGTGCTCCGGGCAGGGCCTGGACTCCTTCACCTCCAGCAGGTGTGGGACTCATCGAACACTGGCTGAATTGTGTCCCTGCTCAAAGGCTCCCAGCGACACTGTGATGAGCCGGGCCCACTCAGACAACGAAGGCAGAAGTGGAGGCGGGCAAGAAAGGAGGGGAAACTAAAATGTAGGTGAGAGATGAGAGAGGAGCCGGTGAAGGACGAGGAGAGAGAAATCCCCACCATCCTTTTTCCAGAGAAGCAGATTGTCGCAGACAGAAGGAGGGATCCCTCTCTTCCCCCAGAAATAGCTAGTACTCCCTTCAGTCTCCCAGGCCAGTGCCTCCTTGTGTCTAACTGAAATACCTCTTGCTGCAGCTGTAGTTCACTTTCTCTTTTTCCATCATCTGGCTTCAGGTCTCCATTCAAGTCCTCATTCAGCCTGGATCAGTGTGGCTTTCCTGATCCCCTACCCAAGGGGCAGGAGCAAGTTCAGAGGAGGCTGGCTCCTGCCCTGGAGTTTGTGCTCTAGTTGAGGAGGCTCTGATGATCCCCAGAGCCACATGGAGACTGCCAGGGAGCTAAGATGTGGATCCACCACGAGTCATGGAGGTTGTGCCAGCCACCACCCCTCAGCCCCTCGGCACAGCCTCCCTGCAGGGCTAACCTTCATCACAAGCAAACCTGTGAATAGAGAGCTCCCACTATGGTAGCAGGGATTCTCAGGTCCCTCATGCCCCCCAGGCCCTGTGAGGCCCTGTGAGCCAGACCCACAGCCTCTGCCATCTGCCTCCCACCCATCACTGGACCAGCTGTGCTCAGAGAGCACACGAGGCAGCCAACGTGGCTCTGGCCCTATTTAGACAGATGGCGCCAGAGCCCAGAAATAGGCTTCAACCTGGCCCCCATCCTGGCTCTGCTGCCCCTGAGGGGTGGTGCATTTCCATCCAGGGGACCTGAACTAGGCTCACATCTTGTCCTGCCCCCGCTCCCCATCTGCCTCTCGGCTTTTATGCATGCCCAGGTCTCCTCCCGGAATGTTCTGCCCTGTCCTCCACATGGTAGGAGGCCCATGTGTCCTCAGGCTAGAAATGTGATGCCTTGAGGCCAACTGGCTAGGCTCAAATCTCACTCAAGGACAATAGTTCCCCTCTTGGTGGTGATGTGAGGACACAGGTGCTCTCGTGCTTCCAGAGTCTTAGCACAGCAGCTGGCAGGTAATAAGTGCTCAGTTAAAGTGATCTAGTGCTGTTTGTCTTTTTTTTTTTTTTTTTTTTGGTAACAGTTTAATAAAGTGTTCATAAAATGTTCCCAATAGGCTGGCTAAGAGCAAGGTAGCAGATAGAAAACCAAGTGGGAAACGTTTTGTGGCCACACCCACAGCAAAAGAGAAGCTATCCATCTTCTAAGAGTTGCCTTGGCTGGCACCTCCTCCAGGCAGCCTTTGTGGATTCTCCAGGACTGAGGCAGGAGCTCCTCCTCTGTGCTCCCAGTACTCCTTGAACAGAGCTCCAGAGTGCAGCTATGCGGTCTTGTTATGGTCTTCTTAGGGGTCTGTGTACCCACTAGAGCCTTGTGTCTTGCCTGTAGGCACCTTGAGTTCAGGGAACAGAGTCTGGACTGTAATTTGCTGAATAAATTATTTTGTGAATGACAGGTGGGAGAGACAGTGAGACGGAAAGAATCAGCTTGAGGCTGCCTTTTCCAGGGCCTATCCTGAAAACACGAGGCTGCCCACACCAAAGTCTGGGGGTCAGATGAGGGAGCTGAAAGAGGAGCCTCCCTCTCCTGTTCTATGGTCTAGGATAGTGATTCTCAGTGTGAGGTCCCTGGCCCAGCGGCATCAGCATCCTTCAGGGACTTGTTGGAGACAGAGATTCTCAGGCGCTACCCAAGACCTGTTGTGGCAGAAACCCTGGGGCAGGGCCCAGCGATCTGTGATGTAACAAGCCCTGCTGCTGATTGTGACCCACCAAAGTGTGAGACCCATTGCTGTAATGTTTCAAGGGTGTGCGTTCACTTTCCCATAAACTAACACCAAAGAGGAGAGGAAGTAGAGTGTCTCTGGGAGTAGCGGGGGCGGTTTCTTCTCTGCTGAAGGCTTCCAAGAAGGCCCTGGGGCTGGGCCCCCAGGACATGGCTCCTACTGGACCCCCACTCCTGAGGCTGAGATCATTGCACTGACAGGGCAGGTGTGATGGGGACACTTGAGATGCCCCTGCCCTCTCCCAGGTGGCCCTAGACCAGACAGGACGCTGCTCCCACCTGCTCTTGAGTCCATTCCATCCCCACTGCCATTGCCCAGCATCCCTTCTAGGTGCTCCCTGCAGCAGGGGCCCCAGGGCAGACTTCTGGAATGACACAACTAAGGGAGACCCTGGAGATCATTGGCTAAAAACACATAAATTCACACAAGCGCCAAAACACACAAGTGTATACAACTCAACATGCACACATATGAACACATAAATATGCATGCAACCCAAAACACAAGCATCTAAAACCCAAACTATAATCACAAACACATTCCTAAGCACAACCAAATACCCCTCAAAACATACTCAGATACACACACACACACACACACACAAACACATTGACAGACACACCTCAAAACACACAAGCACCAATGCATAGACCCACTGTATTGGCTTCCCAGGGCCCTGCAACAAATTACCACAAACTGTGTGGTTCTGAACAACAGAAAGTTATTCTCTTCCAGTCCTGGAGGCCAGAAGTCTGAAATCAAGGTGTCAGCAGGGCCGTGCTCCCTCTGCAGGACCTAGGGGAGCATCCTTACTTGCCTCTTCCTAGTTCCTGGGGGTTGTCAGCAGTTCTTGGCATTCCTTGACTTGCAGCTGTCTCATTCCAGTCTCTCCCTTTGTCTTCTCATGGCCTTCATCTAAGGACACCAGTCGTTGGATTCAGGGGCCACCCTCATCATGTATGACCTCATTTTAACAAATTACATCTGCAAAGACTCTATTTCCAAACAAGGTCACATTCCATGCTTCCACGTGGACATGCATTTTGGGAGGATACTGTTCAACCCAGTAGCGCTGCACATCCCAAACACATAGCTACAGAGGCAGACAGGCAGGCGCACACACACACACACACACACACACACACACACACACACACGCACACACACCCCTCTACCTGGCACATGGAACTGAGCTCCTGAGAGGAGAGAGAGTCCCTAAGTGTCAGAGCTATCCACTCCTCCTCTCTGGGTGTCCAGCACTGAGAAGCCCACATCCTTATTACAACACTTACCCAGTGATGCTGCTTTTCAGTTTGGTTTTGTTGTTTTGTTTTGTTCAAAACGGTTAGGTATGCATATAGTACAAAATTCAAAAAGCAATAAAGACGCTGGGCGTGGTGGCTTATCCCTGTAATCCCAGCACTTTGGGAGGCCGAGGTGGGTGAATCACCTGAGGTCAGGAGTTAGAGACCAGCCCGGCCAACATAGTGAAACCCTGTCTCTACTAAAAATACAAAAATTAGCCGGCCGGGCATGGTGGTGGGCGCCTGTAGTCCCAGCTAATCAGGAGGCTGAGGCAGGAGAATCACTTGAACCCGGGGGGTGGAGATTGCAGTGAGCCAAGATCCTGCCACTTCACTCCAGCCTGGGCAAAAGAGCGAAACTCCATCTTGAAAAAAAAAAAAAAAAAAACAATAAAGAGAACAGAGTGAAAGGTAAGTCTTCCTCGCCACCTAGTTCCCTACCCAGAAGACAAGCACTGGCAACAGTTTCTTGTGCATCCTTCTAGAGGAAATGGAGACACACAGGAGGCAGCATTCTCCATGTGCCGTCTGCATCTTGCTTTTCCTGCCTGGCCATGCACCCATTGTTCTTTATTCTGGCTACTTTCACACCACTTGGATCTCCTCCACCTGACTGTGTGCTTGCTGAGGACAGGCCATATGTAATGGATCCCTGCCTCTTCAGCACCTAGCTCGGGGCTGGCCCAGAGCAGGTGTTCAGTGCAGGGTGGCTCTATCTAGACAGTAATAAATTGTCAACAGCTGGTTGGATCTGAGTGTGACTGGCTGCAGAGCTTTGGTTGATCAGAGCCCACCCTGGCAGCAGCAGGAGGTGGGGTGTGATGGCCCCAGTAGGCTGCTCCTGCTGGTAGGCACCTCCCCATTGGCAGCCTCCAACCCGGCTCTAGCTGGAGCTGACTCTGGGGTCAGAGCCTCTGCTGCTATATCCCTATGGCTGCTTCACCTCCTTCTCCTCCTTCCTGCCCCCTCCAGACTCCTGCAGAGGAAGCAGTCAGGGGAGAGGCTGGAGGGAGAACCATGCTGGCTGCCTGCCGGCATCTTAGCCCAGGGGCCCTGCAAAACAGGAGCTGAGCTGAGCCATTGCCCAGCCTTGCTGGCTGAAGACTTAGTGGGGACTTGTTACCACGGAGACAAGAATTGCAGCAATAACTCAGGGTCAAACTGGATCCCTCAGCTTCACCCAGTTGTGGTGAATGTATTTGCTCCACAACACTCAAATATGAGATGCGCCACATTTTTTTTTTAAATCAAAACAGAAACAGATGCCTCAGTCTGAGATTTTGCCATGATAGGCTTTGAGCAAAGCCCTAGGGGGAGACAGAGGTGGGCAAGGGCTGCTCAGCCCCCTGAGACTGGAAACCCAGGGAAATGCTCACCAGCAGCTCCCTTTGTCCCTCTGTGGAAGGAGGGCTTAAGTTAGATGATTTGTAAGATCTCCTCCAGCCAAAACACTCTCATCACGGGGGCCAAATGAGTCCTACCCCAACCCACTGCCAATCTTTCCTTTCTTCTGCAAATATTTGTAAAGCACTCAACCCTATCCAGCACAGCAGAGGAAATAATCAGCAAACACAGCCAAGGGCTCTGTTGTCAAGGAGCTTCCCTTTGCGGGGAGGTGTGGGGAGTCAGCCGTCTGCTACGTCATCCCGTAAACAACATCGAATGTACTAGGTACAACAAGGAAAATTATACTTAACTTTATTGAGCCATTGCAATGTGCTAGGCACTGCTCTAATGTTTCATGTGAGTTGGCTCTATTAAACCTCACATCTACCCAATAAGTAGGTGCTATTAACATCTCCATTTTACAGACAAGGAAACTGAGGCATAGGGAGGTTAAGAAGCTTGCCCAAAGACATGGGGCTAGTAAGTAGCAGAGGCAGAACTTGGGCCCAGAGAGTCTAGTACTAGAAATCCACATTTGCTGCATACATGATGCCTGCCTCCCAAGATGCTCAGAGGCACAGGACTTGGGGAGCTGGGCCTGGCCTGAGCTCTTCCCTAAGGAAGCAAAAATGGAGCTGAGATTAACCAGGGGGAGAATGAATCAAGTAATGGGAGAGAGAACCTTCCAGGTGGTGGGACTGGCATATGCAAAGGCCCTGTGGCAGGAGGGAAGGTGGCATGCTCCAGGAACTGAGGGAACAACCTAGGAGGCTGGAGATGGAAGTGAGGGGGAAGTTTGACATGATGAAGCCAGAACACTAGGCAGGGCCCCACACCCAGGCCTTGCTGGCCAAGTTAAGGAGAGCGAAGAAAGCCCTTCTAGCTGATTCCATCACAGCCTGGTCCAGGAGGCCTCCCCAGGCACTGCAGATTGGGTTCGGTTCATCTGTGAGCCCTTCTCACACTGCGTTATCACTGCCTTTCAGCCAAGGCCTTTCTCATTCACCTAGAATGAGCTTGAGGAGGGGAGGAACACATCTCATCCTCTTTAGCAACCCCTATCCAGTAGAGAACTCAGGAAAGAATAAGTGAGAACAGTAGGATGGAAGGGAGGGTGAGATCAGCAAGACCAGGGGGTGTACCCAGAAGGCTCCCTGAAGAAAGCAGAGTTGAACTGGGCCTTGCCAATGGAGCATTCCCGTTGGGGGAGGATCAAGGTCCTCCACAGAGGGGAGGAATGGAGGGGGCAGAGACAACCAAGGCCTTTGATGGGCAAGGGGCCTTCCATCGGCTGGAGCTGAGATTCCTCGTGGGGAGCTGGGGGAGGTGAGACTGGAGGGGCTCCTGGGGCCAAGAGGGCCTCCCCTGGTCCCAGCCTCTGCCCAGGAGCAGGCCAGGAGCAGAGAGCTCAGATGTCAAAAGGAGCAGGGAGCTGTGCAGAAGCTCGGGCCTTGGCTTTAGATCTCCACCCCTGCTGTTCAGCTGCTAGCTGTATGACCCTGGGCAGGCTACACACCCACTCTGGGCCTCAGCATCCTCATTTGTAAATGGGGACAGTTGCCACCTCTTCTCTGGCAGGACTGTTGGGGGCCAGGTGAGATGACTTTGTAAACATACTTTGTCACCTGGAGGAGAGTGCACATAGGCCCTCCGTCAGGCTCAGAGGTAATCCAGAGGCCAGGCCCATTCAGGACCCCGCCCCCTACCTCCTGGAGGCTACCATTTCTCTTTTGTTCTCTTCCCTATAGGAGTCTAGGTTTAGACCACCCCAAAAAATGACTAGAGGGGCCTCAGTAGCTACCATCTTCCACTGATCCATTGAGGGGGTGGGGAGGTGGGAGGGGCAGGGCAGGGGGCTGGGGAGGCTGCCCCTGCCTGCCCTAGTGAGAGCTGTGCCAGGGAGGCCTCCAAGTCCTCTTCCTGATCTCTGCCCCTGGGACTTGATGCTGTAGTCAGCACAGTACCACTGCTGTCAGGAGGAGCCACTGACCTGGGGTGGAGCAGGGAGGGAGGCTTGCCTCTGGCTTTCAGGCAGACGCCCAGGGACCTGGTGGCCACTTTGGCTTCGATGATGCACCACCTTGGCTTCTTGATCTGCCTGCCCATGGCCCAGCCAGGCCCTGACAGGGGAGAGAGAGGAGATGGCATTGGATTCAGGCTTTGATTCTTCTTTCTGAGTAGGCAGCCTGCACAGGAACCACTGGGCTGCATGTCACTGTGAGAGCTCAGTCCCTCCACCCTCTCCTCCCCATCAACAAGTCTGAGTGGGAGCTGATCAGAATGAGGGCATTTGAGGAAGGGAAGAGGGATTTGATGCAGGAGGAAAGCTTGATTACATGGATATCTGTCAATCTCAAGCCTTCCTTTTAATATATGATCTTTTTCTAATTAGAAGCAACAATACATGTTCATATTAAATAGTTTTTCAAACTCAGAAAAAAATGTTAAGGACTGTTAAAAGAATGTGATATAATTTTAGTTTTTTTCTTTTATTTTTTTTTAGAATCCAGATCATTTCATTTAACAGCATTGTATCCTGCTGTTTTTATTTCCTATTTTACCTTTTTAACACAGGCATGAAGTCACCTGTCCTCCTCCCCGTGTCTCCCTGAGTCACTGCCCAGCTCCCAGGGGCCTGGGTGACTGTGACAGCCCCACAGCTGCCTCTGCCTTCTGTCTCCAGCACCCCCTGGGCACCATCATGGCTGCTCACTTACTCAGGGGCATAGGCAGAAAGCCATGGGTTGGGGTCCAGGGTCTGGAGGACAAGGAAAAGAAACTTCCTGGCAAGGAGAGGCATCTCTGTGGGGGTCCCAGAGGTGAGATGGATGGGGTGGGGAAGCCAACACACTCAGCTTCCAGCCTGAGTCCAAGTGGCCACCTTCTCCCCTGATGGCGTCCCAACTCCATCTGCCACCCACAGAGGTGTTAAGAGGATAAGTTTCTTAACCTCTCTGGGCCTGAAATTCCTCATTCATAAGATGGGATAAAAATAGAAGCTGCCTGGTCCTTCTCTTTAGCTGAGAGTCCCTTAGATGTAGTACAGATGTGGGAGGCCATCCTCCTGTACCCCAGAAATACAGTCCTCCTGGAATTGGGCAAAGCTGCTCTGTTCCTTCAAAGGCTTGTGCCTTCGGAGGCTGCGTGATGTAGTGGAGGCAGACACTTAGATTCTAATCCTGCCTTTGTCTCTCTCCAGCTGTGTAACTTTAGGCCAGTTACTTAACCTCTCTGAGCCTCAGTTTCTGTACGTGTAAGATGGGGATACTGACTCTTACTTCTTAGGCTGCTACCTCTCATGTTGCTTGTGAGGAATAAACGATGTTCAGTGGGATAGCCATAAGAAGGCCTGGCCCATCACAAATGCCCATGTCCTTTCCTGCCCCTTTCTTCTCCTGAGGCCCCCTCAGGGGCTACACCCATAGGAGCCTGGAGTGTGGTTCCAGTATTCTCTATCAGCCTTTCCTTTTTTCAGTGTACTTCTGTCTTGAGCCTAGCAGCTTCATTCCTGCTTGTTGGAATCAGCGTTCTCTGCCTCGAGGGTGGCACATAGCAAAGTGATCAGGAGGGGGCTGTGGAACCAGCCCCCCAGCTCAGGCCCTAACTTCACGGTACTAACTCCCTGATCTGGGCAAGTCTTTTAACCTCTCTGGGCCTGAAATTCCTCATTCATAAGATGGGATAATAATAGAACCTGCCTGGTCTTTGTACAGGAAACAAAAAACACTCTAGGAATCTTAAGCAAAACCAGGACTGGGACATGATGCTGTAGTCAGCTTGATTCATACAGGGAATCGCAGGGTCTCGAAATCACTGGAAGAATTAGAAGCTGGGTCTTCAGAACAGAGCAGAACTGTCCCTCCAGACAAATTACTCCTCACCCAGTCAGGAGGGCCATTACTGGAGCCACAGAGTTCACGTCCTTTCACCTGCTATCTAGGGATGAGAAAACTGCTGCAGCTTTTGCCACAATTGCCTCTCACACCACCCCCTCCCTGGGAGCCAGAGACTGGGCATTGAACTTCCTGCAGAGAATCCCTTCCTGTCCTCGGCATGGCTTGTCAGCAGAACACGGCCTGAGCACCAGGGAGATCGCCTCCTCCTCCCTCTCCTCCCTTCAGCCTTGTAAATCTATCTCCAGCATGTCTAATTGAAGAGCTCTAATCTGTATCCAGAACCCCAGCTGCAAGGGAGTGTTGGAAATGTACCTTTTAACTTTCCAGCTTCTGCAATATAGGAAGGCACAGAGGTGGGAATGGATGCTGAGGGTATCAACCGTGTCCCATATGCAACCTGATAGGTTTAACCCAGTCGACACCTGAAGAGACTTGGCACAGGGCCTGGCATATAGAACTCACTCAATAAGTGTTAGCTGTTATTCTTATTCTTGGGCTGGGGCAGCAGCGAGAATTGCCTGGCCCTGCCCACGAGCCCTGGCAGAGAGCAGCAGAAGCAGAAATGCCTTTGCCCAGCATGGTGCTGTCCATGGTGCTGAGAGCCCAGCTGGACCCAGCCAGGGGCAGCGGGATCATTGCTCTGCTTGCATCGTGGGCCCAATGGAAGGTGGAACTGCAATCCTCTCACCCCATGCTGAGGCTTCAGGAGTGACTGCAGCGGAGGGACGTTTGGGGACCTCTCGGGGAAGGCTGGCTTCGATCCTATGAAGAGGACAGCAAAAGCAACAACTTAGTTTGTGGCACAGTTTACAGAAAGAGTCTCCATGCACTATGCCCTTTAACTAACACTCATAATCACCCTGGTATAGGCAGGACAGATATGATCTTTAAGAAAAAACTGAATAGCAAGAGGTTAACTAGCAGCTGATAAACAATAGAGCCAGATTCACACCCAGTCTCCTTACCTGCAGCTGTATGCTCCCTCCACTCCCTGCAGCGACTGCTGGAGGGAAACTTGGTAGCCAATGTGCGCTATGTGGGGGCAAAAATTTGGGATTCATGTACTCTGTGCACTGTGCAAATGTGTACAAACCACCTACATTTTATTCTTTCCTACCCTTGAGTGTGTCTCTGGGTAAAGGGCCTTCTGTCTCTCATTGAGGCCTACTACGTGATGGTCTTTGGGAGAACCATGAAAAGTATAAGAGAAAGATATGGTCCCTACTATCAAAGAGCCCATGGATTTGTTGGTAAGCTGGCTGCTCACGTGCATGGGAAAATGAGAGGATGGTCCCAGGCAGTGGTTGCAAGGCCAGCTGTGTAAAGAGGGTGGGAACAAGGTTCAGACAGGGCTGGTAATCTGAAAGAGGGTTCAGAGGAGTACAATATAAGCTGGACTCAGGGGCTTTAAATGCTGATGAGACCAAGGCTCACCCAAGTCCAGGAGGAAGTGGCTCAAGCTGTGTAGGGGTGGGGCAAGCAACTCTGAATAAGGGGGCTAGTGGGGCAGAACAGAGGGTACCATGAGGAAGTAGCCAGGCCAGTGGCCTCTAGGGTAATGGGAGGAATACCAGAGCCTGGAACTTCCAGTGAAGAGGTGGTGTGGGCCTCTGTAGATCTTCAGCCAACTCTCCACAGATTCGGGACCAGCTGGGGGTGGGGGCAGAGATTGCATGGGAGGAGAATATAAGGACCAGCCTCACGAACTGCCACACTGTGACATGGTTTAAGAGGCACTGAGGTATCATCCTTTATCCCCAAATCTCTCCACCCTCTCTCCTTATTTAGGAGGAGTGACAAAACTTTTTGGATCATCAAGAACTCCTTCTCTAGGTGCAAATAACCCTGGAAATCTCAGTCTGGTGCTTTTATGTCTTGGCTGCACACAATAATTGGAGATTCTCATGCTTAATGTCTGGGGTGGAACATGAGTATCTAGATGTACTAAACACTGTCTAGGTGATTCCAGTGACCCCCTCCCAGGCTAAGGAGTCACTGAAAGCACTGAGTGGGGAGCCAAAAACCCCCAGTTCTATCCCCAATCCACCACTTTCCCCAGCCTTAAGCAAATCTCCATGTCTGCTGGAGACTCAGTTTCTCCATATGTAAAGCTGAGCAAACCACTCTTTGTTGTGAAGAGTTGAGGAGTTTGAGGATGGTATGGGGCAGGGAAGGGCTTACTGATATTTAGGGAAAGATTTATGGCCAGCAGACATGTCAGTGGTGAAGGACGTGAACCAGAGCCCTTCATTCCAGTGACACACCCTTCCTCTCCCCACACTTCCTCCAATAGTAACCAGCCCCCTAGCCATGAGAGTAAACCTCACTGAGAGGGGGTCCCTCCGTGAGAAGGGGCAAGGGGTGGTGGGGGCAGGGCAGGAGACCTGGAGAAGAAGGAAGAAGGGGAGGTGGGAGTGGATGCCCATGACCAGGAATCCCAGCTTGTTTGTTTAAGTCCAGAACCATGGGAGATAATCTTACCTGTTGTTAACAAAAAGATGATTAATTATTGAAGCTACTGAGAAGGCTAAATGGCAAGGGGGCAGGGTGGGAGCTGTGGCTTTGTGCACTCTGGGGGTCATGGGGTTGGAGAGAAGGTGGGGGTGGCTCCCCAGCCATAGCACCTTTTCCTAGGGCATGGCTTGTGGCTATAGTGATTCTCTAATCCAAACCAAAACACATGTCCTATGGACCAGTTCCTGAGAACTCATGGGGATGGTGGAGCAGACTGGGCCCTGGGCTGTGCTGGGAAATGCAGGCGTAGTGGCTGCAGATCCAGCCTGGGTTCCTGGCTCAGCCCACTCTGCTCTCCGCTGCATCACCCTAAAGGCTAGGGAAGCTGCTGTCCCTGGACTAAAGTTTGAGCAAGGTCATCCCCTTCCTCTGCCCCCTGCTCAGCATGTCCAGAGCAGCAGAGGCTCAGGGGCCAGCAAAGCAGAGGGTTACAAATGGTCTGGCTTCAGGGCCAGCTCTGCCATTCACTAGCACCGTGACCTCGGGCCAGTTAACTTCTCTGGGCCATGACCTTGAGCCAGTTGTTTAACCTCTCTAGGCCTTAATTTTCTCTTGCATTTAGGGATGGTTCTCATACCCTAGGGTACTTATGAGAATTAAATGAGCTAGTACTTAAATAGAAAATATTTAGCTCATATTACTTGCTCTGTAAACGTTAGCTATTAATAAAATTTGTCCCTCCCTGGGCCCTCCTGGACCATCCTAACTCTGGGGTCATCCCTGAGATTTGGCTTTGGCCTTGAGATGTCTAACTCATCTGGAAGGGGAAGTGGGAAGCAAAGTGCTGGCCTTGTTAGTTAGGGCAGCAGTGGATAAAACCAGGCTAGGTCTGGAGGCCTGGGAGTGAGCAGTAGGATGGGGCAGACAGAAAGGCAAAGCTAGCCCTTTTTGAAGCCTTTGCCCAGTTGCCAAAGACAACTTTGCCCAAGCCTAGAACAGCTGAGCTGCCAGCTTTTGGCATAGGAACCCAGGATGGAGGAGAAATGGGACAGGAAGAGGGCCACACACTCTCCCATCAGATAAGATATGCAGCTAGGAGGGGCCCTGAAACCCTGACTCACCAACCAGAATTCACATCATCTCCCACTGCCCCTCCTTGGCCCACAAAGCAAGGCTGACATTTATTTTTTATGCACAGGAAGGACAGAAACAACCACCACCTACCAGCTGCAGTCTGTGGGATAGTGGATGGACCTTTCCATCCTCACATCTCTCCTCTTGCCTGCCCCAGAACAGAGAGGCTGGAAGGAGGAGTGTAGGGACTGTGCAGTCTGGGCCCCTCACCACAGCCTTACAAATAAGCTGAGGAGGAGGAGGATGGCAGCGCTGGCGAATTAAGCAGTCATATTTCTCAAGCACTGTGCAAATGGATTTATGTGAATTATCTTACTTCCCCTTTGCAATAACCCTGTGAGGCAATACTGTTATTATACCCATTTTCCAGATATGGGAACTGAGGCTGAGACAGATGAAGTCACTGCCCCTGGTCACACAGCTAGCAAAGGTGGGTCTGGGATTAAGTCCAGTCAGTGGCTTCAGAGAGCCTGATCCTTCCCATTGCCCCAGACAGCCTTTGTCCTATACTGTGAAAGTGATGTCTAAACAGATGAGTTCTTTGATGCCCCCGCTACGCCCTGCTGGGCTGGTGGCCCTGCTGTGTTTTCTGTTGACATCCTAGAGTTTCTAGCTTCATTCTTTCCAGTGCTGGTGCTTTAGTCTCCAGTAAGCCAAAATCTGGATTTTCTGCCTGTCTTCTTCACACCCAAGAGCTAGCTCTCCCTCCAGAAAGAAGTATGGTCCAGGGAGGGTGAAGGGATGCAGAGAAAAGGCTTGGTGCTGCTTTAGGTTTCCATGGCAACAGCCTCCCTCATTACTGCCTCTGCTTGCTGCCTGGGAAAGCTGAGGAGGGTGGTGAGGTGGGAGAGGGTGAGGATCTTGTCTCCTTTCTTTTCCTCCCTCACTGCCCTGCAGGTTGAGCAGCCAGGTTGAGCTGAAAGCCTGCACCTGACCAACCTGCTGGATGGAATTCCCCACCTCCTGCCCAACTCCAAGCTTAGTGGCTGGGGCCTTGTAACTAGGGGTCCTCCCAGGCAGAAGGGCCACCTGGTCCAAGCCGCCCAACAGCAGTCCTCTCCCTAACCCCAAAGGCTGGGATGTGAACTCCCTAGAGAGGACCTCATGTTTGTACTTCCAGGGGAAATAGATACTCAATGAATTCTTGTTGAATGAATGAATGAATGAACCAATAGTGGTCTATTCTACACTGTAGCCACTGCCATTCATTTTCATTTCCTCAAAACGTTATATTCAGCCTTCCCTCTAGGTCTTTGCCAACACGGGTGCCTCTGCCCACGCTTGCCCATTGCACAGGACTAACTCCTACACCCCTTTCACATCTCAGCTTGGAGGTCACTTTGTCAAAATTCAAAACTTTTACACTTCAAAAGACACCATCAAGACAATTAAAAGAAAAGCAATAGGCCAGGGGGAAACTATTTGCAAAGCAGAGCTCTGATAAAGGACGTGCATTTGAGCATAAAGATGACCAAAGGGGCCCTGAAGGAGGGTGCTGCCAGCAAGGGAGTTCCTGGGTCTGTAAGTCTTGTGGTCTCTCCACCGCGTGTGTTCTTTTGCAGCAGCCCCGTAGCTGGGTGGAGCCTCCGGGCCTGACGTGGACCTTCACTGGAGAAGTGACTCAGGTGGGAAAAGTCTCCCCGGGCCTCTCCACCTGCAGGATCGCCTTCCTACACCTTCCCCCGCCCGCTTCCTTCGCGCGGGCTCCTCCCAATGACCACCAGCAGAACTGCAGCCTCCTGCCTTAGCTGACCTGGAGCCCGAGGTAGCTCAGATGCCAGCTCCTTCCTCCAAGAGACCCTAGAAATGCCATTGGCTGCTACTCTGATGCTCTGGCAGAAGGCATGCCGTTGAAGTGTACTGTGTTCGATGTAAACTATTATGAGTTTGCATCTGGCTAAACGTGCTAGTGAGTTAATTAGCCACCTGGGGTAGAAACAAGAAAACTATGGGTGGCCTAGGCAGAGCTCGATGGAGCAGGAATTAGGGGAACTGAGAAAGACAGGCAAGAGACTCCCGGATCCTGCTAGATGCTAATCTAGAGGGTGGGAGTGGGAGGAGTTTTGTGCACCCCTTCTGTTTCCAGGACTACTCTCAGGCCCTCCATCGCAGGTTCTGGGAGTGAGCACAAGCAGCCCAGACTCCCAGGCCACCTCCTGTCCCCTGCTTCAATCCCTTTACCTTCATTCCTTCTCCATCCCCATCTCTCAGCCCTCCCCAACTCCTGAAACCTTTCCATGGTGCCCCCTGGATCTCCATTCTTCATTTTGCAAATATTTATGTGATGCTCCTTGTGTTCCAGGCATTGTTCTACAAGATGAACACATCCTAACACTCCTCTTAAGAGCCCTGTGAAGTGGGTACTAATGGCTGTTGCCATTTCCACTTTACAGAGGAGTAAAGTGAGGCATGGGGACTGTAAGTGCCTTGCTCAAGGTCACCCGATGAGCGATGAGTGAGCGTTGGAGCTGAGATTCAGTGGCACGGAACCTGTAATCCCCAGAAGCATCCCCAGCTCCTCGGTCTCCTCACCCTCCGACTGGGAGACTCCCCAGTCCAGCTTCCCTTTCCACCCTCTCAGAGGGTGGTTCCTGCTTCCCCTCCAACACCACTGGCCTGGGGATGGAGACGTGTCTTTCTTGTTCCCCTTGGCAACATTGAGACTCTTCCTCCCTGCTTTCTAGAGCCCCCTGTCTTGGACCCACAGGTGTCAACCTAGACATCTTGCTGCCCATCGTTGTTAGTCATCAAGGAGTCCCCCAGGCCACTCTCCCCTTCCCCCCTCACTGTCTCCCCAGTTTTTTTCCTGTCTTCATTCTTGCTGATGTCAATGTCCACATCTCCACAAAGATGATCCTTCTGATACTCAGCCGCTCGCTCCCACGGTCATGTCCTAGACCCGATCACCACCGATAGCCGGAATCTCTTTCATTTCAGCACCAAACATCCCACTTTCAGCATGCCACTCCCTCTGCTCTACACTTACTAGCCGTCCACAATTCTTCTACCTCCCCTTGGAACTCCAGTAGCTTTCCCTGGTCCTCACCCATCTTGCATCTTATTTCTCTCCTGGCTCAAATTCCACAGCAAATCATTACAATTATTCACCTGCTACACCCTCAACCCTCTTGTGTTATGCTCATACTTGCTGGGGGGAAGCCTCTACCCCTACTAAGTCTTCCACACCTGCAACCATACAGGTGAATCCAGCACAGCAAGTCTGGCTGCTCTCGTCAATTCAAGATCATGAGCCTCCACAGGCCCCATTGTTGCCTGGCAATCCTGCTCCATTTCCGTAATCCATCCTCTCTTATTCCCCTAGACTTCTATTTCTACCTTTTTTTCCTGTCACCAAACATCCAACATCCGCCCACCACCACCACCTCACACTGGGCTGAGACCTCATTCCTTCTTTTACTGAGAAACCTGAAGCAAGGCTGGGCATGGGGGCTCGCACCTGTAATCCCAGCACTTTGGGAGGCCGAGGTGGGTGGGTCACCTGAGGTCAGGAGTTTGAGACCAGCCTGGCCAACATGGTGAAACCCCATTTCTACTAAAAATACAAAATTTAGCCAAGTGTAGTGGTGGGCACCTGTAGTCCGAGCTACTCAGGAGGCTGAGGTAGCAGAATTGCTTGAACCCTGGAGGCAGAGGTTGCAGTTAGCCAAGATGGTGCCACTGCACTCCAGCCTAAGCGACAGAGTGAGACTCTGTCTCAAAAAAAAAAAAAAAAAAGAAAAGAAAAGAAAAAGAAACTAGAAGCAGTAAGGACAGAACACTCACTGGCTGCCGCCGCCACTCCTGGGACCAGCCAGCACCTGAGCATGTGTGCTGCCTTCCCTCCCACTCACCCAGCCAACAGCCTGACTCTCAGTAAACATCTCCACTGTGCACTAGTTCCCAAGCCTCCCGCAGTCTCACTTTGCTCCAGCAGTTCCCCCCTCCTCCTACTTCTTCTACTGAATCATTCCCACCACTATACAATGTGTTATTTTTCCCGTCTTAACCACTTTCACCTCCAATTACTCTTCCAGAGAGCTGTTTTTGCCCACTGGCTCCAATTCCTCTCCTGTCATTCTCTCTGGAGCCTATTCCAGTCTGGCCACCTGCACATGGCTTAAACCATGGCTAATTTGGCTGGGCGCAGTGGCTCGTGCCTCAAGTGAAAGAGAGATAGAGAGGGAGATAGAGAGAGAGGAAGGAAGGTAGAAAAGAGAGAGGAAGGAAGGAAGGAAGGAGGGAGGGAGAGAGAGAGAGAGAGAGCAACCATGGCTCATTCACAGTTGTCATCTTTCTTGACCACATCAACACTGGTTCCTCCCTCCTCCTGGAAACATTGTCTTCATTCAACCCAGGACACCACCCTCTCCTGCTTTTCCTCCTTCCTCACTGGCTGCTACTTCTCAGTCTCCTTCTCTGTTTCCTCCTCCCCTGCCCTGTAGATATTGGCGCACCCCGAGGCTCCCACCTTGGATCTCTCCTCTCACTACATTCTCTTCTGTAATTCAGGGCTTTGCCTCGAAGAGTTGTCGCTATGCCAGTGGCTTTTGTCTCACATTTATGTCTCCAGTCTCTTTTCTGAACTGCAGACTAACCTATCCAAATCCCTGCTCCCCGTCCCCACTTAGCATGTTCCAAACTCAACTCTTGGTTTCACCCTTGCACGCACTCCCCCTCCACCTCTACTGTCCATTTCCATCCTGCACTTTCTGCCTCTCCCATTCCATAACAGCAACTCTATCTTCCAGTGGCTCAGGCCAAAAACCTGAGAGTCATCCTCGACTCCTCTCACTCTTTCACATCCCCTATCTAATCTGCCGGCAAATCTTGTTGGCTCCACATTCAGAATATTTCCAAAATCTGAGCACGTCTCTCACCTCCACTGCGCCCATCCCAGTCCAGGCTACCATTGTCTCCTGCCCGGACCCTGGCCGAGCTCTCCGCATCTACTTCTCCACTTGTTCACCCCTCCTGCTCCCCCACCTAGTCTCCATATGAGGATCAAAGAGATCTCATTAAAGCCTGTAATCCCAGCACTTTGGGAGTCCGAGGCAGGAGAATCACTTGAATTCAGGAGTTTGAGACTAGCCTGGGCAACATAGTGAGACCCTTGTTTCTATCAAAAAATTTTAAGAATTAGCCTGGTGTGGTGGCATGCACCTGTAGTCCCAGCTACTCTTGAATATTGCTTGAGCCCAGGAATTGGAGGCTACAGTGAGCTATGATTGTGCCACCGTGACAGAGTGAGGCTCTATCTCTCTCTTAAAAAAAAAAAGTCATTTTAATTCACTCCATGGCTCACTCCCCATGCCCTTTGCCCTGCCCTGTGCAGCCCACTGGTCTGCTTGCTTCCCCAACTCTCCGGGCAAGCTCGAAGCCCAGGGCCTCTCCTCCACTTAAAGTGCTCTTTCCCCAACAGCTGCATGGTTCACTCCCTCAAGTCCTTGCTCAGATGTCATTCTCTCAGTGAGGAATTCCCTAATCACCCCTTTACAATTCTAACCTCACCCTCATCCCTCCACTTTGTCTCCCCAGTAGAATCCCACAAGGGAGGGATTTTTATTTATCTTGTTCACTGGTGCATTTGTCTAGCATAAAGCAGTTGCCCACCAAATATTCAAATGCATCAATGAATGGATGAATGAGTCTACTTTTCTCGAATGGAAGTGAAGGGTTTCCAGGTAGAGGTGAGGTCTGAAGGCAAAATGAATGATCTTTTGAGAGAACAACCACCTTGCAGATAAGTTCAAGTAGCTACCGGACACCTCCCATTTTCACCTGCCCTTCCCACTGTTATCCATGCCTGAGGAATGTGATGCCAGGGACGGCAGGCTCTGCATTGGTGTCTCACCAAAATGTTCAGGCTCACGGAGTTGGCTCAGGTCCCTGGGCAGGTCCTGGTCTCCCTAGTTCAAATGCCTGGAAGACAGAGACCTTTCTAAGCCAGGCATAGAAATAACAAACTCCACATATTTCCAGCTATTTGTGGGGGCAAAAAAATTAAAACAATTGAACTCATGGAGATAGAGAGTAGAAGGATGGTTACCAGAGGCTTAGAAGGATATGAGGGTGGTGGGGAGTGGGGATGCTTAATATGTACAAAAAACAGAATGAATAAGATCTAGTATTTACTAGCACAACAGGGTGACTATAGTCAAAAATAATTTAATTGTACACCTTAAAACAACTGAAAGAGTATAATTGGATTGTTTGTAACCCAAAGGATAAATGCTCGAAAGGATGGATACCTCATTTATCCTGATGTGCTTATATCTCATTGCATGCCTGTATCAAAACATCTCAGGTACTCCATAAATATATACACCTACTATGTACCCACAGAAGTTAAAAAAAAAAGAGGGGGGTGTTTCTTGAGTCACTGCACATGCCAGGCACTGCATTCCCTAGGAGCTATGGCCCTTACCATGGCTGGATGGTGACTGCATCAGAGATTGCTGAATGCAGAGATGATTGTCATTGAGCCCCGTCTGCATGGGCGTTCCGTGAACACAGCGGTTTTGACTTCCAACCTGAACATTTCCACACTGGGGTCTGACCCACATTTGTGAAATTTGTTCATTTATATACAACAAAAACTTCCCAAGGTAGAACTGGAAAAATGCACATTTGGATGTGCATTTTACAACTCTTGTTTCAGGGATCCAGTGGTACAAAATAAGAACTCTCCCAGGAAACGAGAACCAGTCTGTCATCCCGGCCTTGGGTTTGAGGCAGCTGTTCTCTTGCAGGACAGGGCTGTGTGCCGTCTCGTGGGCTGGCCCTCCTGTCTTGGGTCTGAAGTGGCCTAGCCTGGCCGAGGCACTCGGTGCCCATCCCACAACTCCCCATCGGGCTTCTGTGTTTTGCAAAATGCAAGGGAGTCTTTGCATCTGACCTGGATGCCCTCTGTTTCCCAGGGATCCTCCCAGGATGTCTGCCTCACCAGACGACCTGAGTACAGGGGGAAGGTTACAGAACATGACAGTGGATGAATGCTTCCAGTCTCGGAACACCGTCCTCCAGGGGCAGCCCTTTGGGGGTGTCCCCACCGTGCTGTGCCTCAACATCGCCCTGTGGGTGGTGAGTCCTGGGCACTGCAGGAGGCAGACAGTAAAGCCTCAGACAGGGTCGAACTTTCACAGGTGATGCAGTGGGGGACCCAGTTGTCCAAATGGACAACAACAACATTGATACAAACTGCCTGAATGTCAGTCCTGCCTAGGGTGGCCCCGGTAGGTGGGCCTCAAAGAGGCTGGAGGAACAGGCAGAATTCCTGGGATTCTTTTCTGTGCATCATTGTCCAGAGGTTCACCTGGCCTCCTTCCTCTTTCTCATTGCTGAGGTCTTCAAGGCACATTCTGGTCCCATAGATCTGAACATGCCTCCAGCTCCATTCAATGAACTCTGAGCATCCACTCTGTGCCCAGAAGCTGCTGGGCGCTGGCAACCTACAGTTGAAAGGAATGGCCCCTACTCCAACAGAGCTCACCTTCTAGTGGAGGAGCTCCCTGGGGACCTCAGGGACAGGGTCTCCCCCAAGGGAATGCAGGGGGCCAGCCAAGGGGAAGGGATCCATGAAGTCTCCCACCCCACATTGCTTTTCCTGGCCTGTAGCTCGTCCTTGTGGTTTACTCCTTCCTCCGGAAAGCTGCGTGGGACTATGGGCGCCTGGCTCTGCTGATACACAATGACAGGTGAGGAGGGGTCGAGATGGGTGAGCCGTTGCCCCCTTGGGGAAAACCTGTTGCCATGGCCAGGACGCAGCTCTGCCCAGCGCCCGAGCTGCAGCAGGTGTCTCGCCAGCAAGTGGCCTCTGCCCCTGCTCTGCCCTCCCTGCAGGAAGGGGACTTGGAGGGCAGCCATCCCTGGGCACAAGGCCGTGTTTTTCTCTGGTCTTAGACTTTCTGGATCACGTGGCTGAACTCCCAGATGCCTGGTGTACCTGGCACAGGGGCGATTGCTGTCTGTGCCCAGAGCTGTGTGCTCAGCAAAGGAGCTGAGGAGCGCCTGCCCGTGGCAGAGCAGAGGGCAGCCCTCAGCCAGGGAGTGGGGAGGGAGCAGGGCAGGCAGCTGAGAACTTTTCTCTCCTTTCTTACCTCCCTGCCCCTTCCCTGGCTGGCAGCCTGACCTCGCTGATCTATGGGGAGCAGAGCGAGAAGACATCTCCCTCGGAGACTTCCTTGGAGATGGAACGCAGAGACAAGGTGAGTGCTGGGAGCGGTCTGGGCGGTGGGAGTCCCAGCACTGGGCAGGCAGGCGTGGTGTGCACAGGAAGAAACACGGCTTAGACCTTGGGGCTTTGTAATCAGCCAGCCTCAACCACTCTGGCAGTGTGACCTTGAGCAAATTCCTCAGCCTCCCCCAGACTCAGTTTCCCCACCTGAAAGATGGAGTTATTGACCATACCTACTACTAGGGTGCCAAGTAAGTGTTAACGAATTAAGATATCTTAGAGAGATTTTTAACATTAATTTGTCTTCTCTGCTCAAATCTCCAACCCTTCTCACAGTCCCGTCCTGCCCACGTCCCTACCTCTGACTCTGAATCAAGGCCTCACCTCCCATTTCACATAGAAGATTCTAGTCATGTGGTAGGGATTCCCTCAGCCTCAGGCTTCCCAGCCCTGTTTAGTGGAGCGCAGTCTGCTGTTTCCTCCTCTTCCCTGGTGAAGGCCAGCCCTCCACCCGACTCATGCATTCCTTCAGCCACTTGCTGTGTGCCAGCCACTGGTCTGGGAGCTGGGGACCAAGTCCTGCCTCATGGCGCTGTCTTCCCCAGGCAGGGGAGACGACCAGACAGAGGCATGGTGGAGAACGCCACAGGAGGAGGTCAGAGATGGTCTCGGGTAGTGGTGACATTTCGGCGGGGCCCTGAATACTCTGAGAGGGAGCCCTGAGAACGTCCTCCCTCCCCACCCCCACACACAGCTGAACTGACAGTGGCCCATGCTGCTGTCACCACTTCCTCACCTCTCACTCACGCCCCGCCTCCCACTCACGCCCCGCCTCCCACTCACGCCCCGCCTCCCACTCACGCCTCCTCTCCCACCCACGCCTCCCCTCCCACTCTCGCCTCCCCTCCCACTCTCGCCTCCCCTCCCACCCACGCCCCCTCCCACTCTCGCCTCCCCTCCCACTCTCGCCTCCCCTCCCACCCACGCCCCCTCACACTCACGCCTCCCCTCCCACTCTCGCCTCCCCTCCCACTCATGCCCTGCCTCCCACTCACGCCTCCTCTCTCACTTACACCCCACCTCCCACTCACGCCTCCCCTCCCACTCATGCCCCACCTCCCACTCACACCTCCTCTCTCATTCACACCCCGCCTCCCACTCACGCCTCCCCTCCCACTCACGCCCCACCTCCCACTCACGCCCCGCCTCCCACTCACGCCCCCCTCCCACTCACGCCTTCCCTCCCCCTCTCGCCTCCCAATCACGCTTCACCTCCCACTCACGCCCCCTCCCACTCACGCCTCCCCTCCCACTCATGCCTCACCTCCCACTCACGCCTCCCATTCATGCCTCCTCTCCCACTCACGCCTCCCCTCCCCACTCACCTCCCACTCACACCTCCCCTCCCACTCACGCCTCCCATTCACGCCTCCCCTCCTACTCTCGCCTCCCCTCCTTCTAGCGCCTCCCCTCCCCCTCTCGCCTCTCACTCATGCCTCCCCTCCCACTCATGCCCCCCTCCCACCAAGCCTGCCCCCCACTCACTCGTTGCCTCCCACTCCTCCCACTCTCACCTCCCCTCCCTCTCACACCTCCCCTCCCACCCACGCCTCCTCTCCCACTCATGCCTCCTCTCCCACTCACGCCTCAACCTCCTCAAATGTGAGCTCCCGTCCCTCACTCCACCCAGACAACCCTGAAGGTCAGCAGTGGTTCCCCCCACCGCTAAATCCAATGGACTTTTCTCAGTTCACATCTTGCCTGCGTTCTCTGAAACGTCTGACCCTGTAGACCGTCTTTCTCTCTTGCACAGGTGCTCTCCGTTGCATAGGTGATGTCACATTCTTTGGGTTTTCCTTCTGCCTCTCTGTCTGCTCCTCCTGTGTCTCCTTAGCAGACTTCTCCTCCACACCGGGAGTCCCCCCAACCAGCTGATCCCATATCCTTCCCCTCACCCTGACTCCTGGGCAATGACACCCACACTGACAACTTCCTTTGCCATCTCTACACATAAACTTTTAAATTCCTGTCTCCAGCTAATCCTCTCCCACTGGGCCCCAGCCTGATTATTCAATGCCTTTCAAAATACCTCCATATGGATATTGTAGTCATTTGGGGTTCCATTTGTCCAAAACATTTCATGATATCCCACCACACACCCACCTGTTCCTCTGACCTTGGTCTCAGACCTCCCACCATTCTCCCCAGGGTCTCCTCTCCCTCTTACCCAGGTCCCCAAGCATAGCCAATGTGTCTCCACGTTGTGTTGCTTTGACCTTCCCAGCTTTCTTTCTCTCCATCACTCCTACCATCCCCTGGTCCAGGCCTCCATCAGCCTCTTGCCTGGACAACTGCAGTAGCTCTAACTGATCCCTTTAGGTCCACGCTCTAGGGCCCTTATCCATTTTCCACCTGCATCCAGAGAGATTCCCCTGCCTGGGGACATATATTCTGCTGCAGAGACCTTCACTGTCTTCCTAGGGCCTGTGGAATCAATTGCAGATGCTGTGCCGTGGCCTGGTAGTTTGGTCCATCCTCCCTTACTCCTCCCAACTCCCCTATCCCTGCCACATGAGTCCACCGTTTAGCTTCTCAACAGGGCCACCTGCTTCCCTCCACCAGCCCTTTCCCAGGCTCTTCCCTCTCCCCCTTCCGCAGTGGCCCTTCTCTGAGTCACTCACCTTTTGTTGAGATTTCAGCTTAAGCACACTTCCCCAGGGAGCCCTGACCACCCCTCCTGGGTCCAGATCTCTTGTTATATAGCCACAGAAAATGCATTCCTTTTCTTCAACATTTTTAACCCTGTCTGTAACGATCCCTCATCTGCAAGATCAGTCTAGTGTGTCTGCTTTCCGCAGGCCCTGAACTTGGATTTGCTCACCACTGCACCCCACATCCAATCCAGCCTGCCATGTACTTAGCATCTGATGCATATTTGTCAGTTGCGCTAAGTAAGCGGAGCCAAATTCCTTCCATTGTCATCCCTCGAGAGGCGGGGTCCTTCACTTGCTAGAATCTGCCCTCTCCAAAGTGCAGAGCCTCAGACAAGTGACTTCATCTCTTGAAGGCTTCCTGGATAGAAAAAAGGCAGCAACATCTACCTTGCAAGGTGGCTCGCAGGTTTATTCTTGGAAATATCACTTTGATTTTTTTTTTCTTGTTACAATGACAAAAAAAGTTTTATTTTTAAAAATCTAAGAAGATAAATCCTTATGGCAGCAGTGAGGGGGACAAACTGAAGAGGGCGTAAATTAAATTAAATGGAGAACAGAGAGTTCAGTGAGGTGGCCCCCACAGTGTCCAGCCAGGATGGGGAGCCTTCAGCCAGAGCCAGGTGGTGTGGGTGAAGAAAATGGGTCTCACCATGGTTCCCTGAGCAAGTTGGGTCAGGTACTGTTACCCCCAGGTGGCGGGGGCTCAGATAGGTGAAGTGAACTGACAGCTGTCACTCTGTCACGTCAGCTGAGCTGGCTCCTGGGAACTGCAGCCCTGTATCTGCCTCTCATGTGGCTGTTCAGCTGCTGAGCTTTCTGAATGGTTTATGCCTTCAGAGCGATAATGTGTACTCAGGGGAGGGAGTGTGTGTGTGTGTATGTGTGTGCACACACACATGAGAGAGACAGAGAGAGAGAGAGAGATCCACACAGGATATTCATGGCCACGCTTCTACTCATGACCTCTGCCCTTTCCTGGATGACCCATCCTCTGTCTATTCCAGTATACACCTGTGCACCTGTAGTGGAAGGGGCAGAAACACATTCCCAGGAAGATGTGTCCCCAGTGGTACCTAATCATGAGGGACCATCAAGAAAGCTACTTGTTCCCTTAGTCAGTTGCACCCTGTTTGCCCAGCTGAGCCATGGAGACAGACTCTTCATGCAGGAGGGGTGGCTGGACCTCTCTCGGCCCAGCTCTGCTTTGCTAGTTACCCCTCCCTGGGGATGCTCCCCACTGCTGCTGCCACCACCATGCTATTTCCCTTCCTTGCTCTGACTCACACCTGAACATTTATCCTTAATTTAGCTCCCCAGGGCATAGCTGGAGGAATGTCCTGCTGTGAACACCCTCGAGTGGCCATTGTCACCATCAGCCAACCCAACACAGGGAAGGGGACTTAGAAGGTGGGACTTATGCCGAGGGGAGCAAGGGACTTCTATTTCTTTTGTGCCTTCTCAAAAGGAAGCAACGAGGACAGGCAAAAAAGAAACAGATGTCCTTTGCTCCCCTCGGCATAAGGCCCGCCTTCTAAGTTTCCTTCCCTGTGTCAGGTTGGCTGATAGTTGCTTCCTTTTGGGAAGTACCTCTTCCCCAGTCCATGTGGTTCCAGAGGACTATCAATCAAGAGGTCTGCCTGGTTCACAGAAGTGCACATGACCCAAATGGGGCCAATCTAGAGCTGTAACCTTGTGCAAGGTTTTGCTAAGTCCTCTGGGATCCCAGAAGGAAGCAGGCACCAGAGTAACTTCACCAGCTACCAGAGCTGGCAGCTTTTAGAGCTGCAGGCCCCAGCCCCCTCTCTTACACACCGTTCCAAAGATGACTCTCTCTCTAGTCCCCCACCAATCTCCCCATGGCTAAGGCCACCTTTCCCCACCACCCAGAAACTCCAGACAGCAAGACCCCAAGAGAAAGGCCTCAACCGGACAGGACCCTCAGCACATGGCATCAAAGATGCCACCAAACCACGCCAGGTTTCATGATGTTTACTGAGGTGCAGGAATTCAGAGGGAAAGAGACCTTCCTCCTTGCAACACCCATATCAATCCCCTTAAGGGATTTTTTTTTTTAATTTTAATAAGTGGGGTCTTGCTGTGTTGCCCAGGCTGGACTCAAACTCCTGGGCTCAAGTGATCCATCTGCCTCAGCCTCTTGAGCTGCTGAGATGACAAGTGTGAGCCACCATGCCTGGCTTCCTTAAGGAAATTTTAATTGGCCCCACTTGGGTAAAGTTCCCATTGGCCAGTCAATCACTGGAGGCAAACTCCCACTCGGACAGAGTAAGAGTAGGAGCCCACTGGACCACACGCATCCAGTGAAGGACATTTCCAGAAGGAAGCATGAAGGACAGACAGAGAGCAACAGACGTTCACCCCAGAAGCAGTCACTTCTCCCCCTCCAGTTCAAGGGTCACCTTCTAAACCCCATTTCCTATAACAGGAGGGCAGAGATGTCCACTCATTTCCAGGGAAGCATCTCCCTCCACAGTCACCACTGGTTCCCAGCTGAGCCTTCAGACTCTTTTTCCCAGGAAGGAGGCCCCGGACGCTGCCGCGGCTGCCTCAGATGACCTGGCCGCCTGGGTTCCCAGAGCTGGGCAGGGCAGGCCAGGACCTGGGTTTTCTCACAGTTTCTCTCCTTTCCCCGCAGGGATTCTGTTCCTGGTTCTTCAACAGCATAACAATGAAGTAAGTGCCCGGGCTCTGTGAGCTTGTGACCGTGTTGCCTTGGGGGTGGGGGGTGGAGGCTCCTGGAAAAGTTAGCAGCCCCCAGCCTGGGAAGACAGGGCCTGAGCTCCGTATCCTCCCCGCCACCTCGGCCCATTACCAGTGAAGGATGCTTTCCTGGGGTACAGTTGGTGACGTGAGAACTGGGCACAGCCCACTGCCCCTGTTATCTCTGCCTCAGTCCTTAGGGAAGGACCACTTTTAATAGCTGAATCATTACTCGCGTGCTTATAGAAATGCTTCTGTGAACTCCACACCAGGAAAAAGAAACCCTTCCTTTGTGCTATCTGCTTGATTTCTGTGAACATCATTCAACATATCATGTGTTCGCCCTTCTGCCCAAGCAAACATCGGGCAGAAGGGCAGGCCTCGCTCGGCCTCAGTGCCTGGAGAGCAGAGGGGCAGCCCTTGCCCACCTCACCTTGTGGGTTTCTTGAATGCCAGACCCCACTTTGCAAGCAAGCAGCCCCCAAGTCACCTGTTTTCTCCTGCAAGCTGACCTCAAGTTACGTGTTTTCTCCTGATTCCCCAACACCAGCCAGACGCTTCAGCAGAGCAGACACTTACCGGAACTCTATGTTCCCACTGCGTAGGCATACACACATGCACACTCATACATACACGCACACACACGTACACGTGTGCACACAGCTCTGCCTCCACCTCAGACCCCACACACTCATGGGCTCTCCCTCAGTGTGCTCCACCTGTCCTGTCCTGCCCATCCTTTAAACCCCTCCACCCCACCCCTACCCAAAGACTCCTATCACAGAGGCCCCTCTGTCAGGGACCCAGCATCTGGGAAAGCAGGAAGGCAGGGCATTGCACCGTGCATCCAGCAGCTCTTGAGAGCAGTGTCATAGAAGACAGCTTAATGCGTTTACTGAGCAGCAATAAGTCAAGTAGCGTCCCCGTGCACAAACCCATGCGGTCTGGTTGGAGAAACAAAGGTGAACAAGACTCCCTTCGTAGCATTCAGAATGGGAGGGTTATAATTGCTGTGCAGACGGCATGTGGGGAAGAGAGAAATTAATTCCAACTGGAAAAGTATAGTTTTGAGCTGGGCATTGGAGGACAGGAAGAGTTTCGACAGGCGCGATGTGGGATGTGGAGGGCACATCAGAAGTAAAGGACCGTGTGAGCCAGTTTGTTGCAGAGATGAGTAGGGTGTGCACAGACATGGTAAATCTGGTGTGACTAGAAGCAAGGTTTCATGGTAAGTGTGGCGGGGGAGGGTAAAAGATTGGGCTGGAAGGATCAGTTGGGATTTTTTTTTTTTTTTTTTTGAGACAGAATATCTCTCTGTCACCAGGGTGATGTGCAGTGGCACAATCTCAGCTCACTGCAACCTCCGCCTCCTGGGTTCAAGCAATTCTCCTGCCTCAGCCTCCCGAGTAGCTGGGATTAGAGGCACGTGCCACCATGTCCAGCTAATTTTTGTATTTTTAGTAGAGACGGGGTTTCACCATGTTGGCCAGGCTGGCCTCAAACTCCTGACCTGAGGTGATCCACCTGCCTCAGTCTCTTAAAGTGCTGGGATTACAGGCATGAGCCACCGCACTGGGCCTCAGCTGGGACCTTGGCTGGCATACTGAGAATCTTGGGCTTTCATCTAGAGACAGTAGAGAGCCAATTAGTATTTTTAAGCTGGAAACTCAGAACAATATATGTGTGTAGGCAGAAGTATGGAGAGTGAATGGCATTAGAGAAAGTCCAAAGTCAAGGTGAGCAGTTAAGGAGGCTATTCCAATGGTCGAGGTGGGAGGTGCTAGTGACCTGAACCGGGGCAGTGACTAGAGAAACAATGGGAGGGGAAGATGGGAGGGAGATCATAAGGCTACAGTCAGTAGGTTGTGGCCTAGTTAAGAAAGAGGGAGAAATTGAGGTCTGGTTTCTGGGGAGGGTAGTAATGCCATTAGGTGGGAGAGGAAACACAAAATGATGAGATGTAGTCAGGGCAAGTATGCAAGCTGACAAAGGAGCTGTTGAAAAAACAAGATTGAAGCCTAGGAGAAAGGTCAGAGTTAGAGATTTCAACTTGGGAGATGGTGCATGGAGGCTGTAGTTGAAGTCATGGGAGCAGATGGGTCATCCAAGGATGTAAGACCAGAAGCGGCCCAAGGGAGTGCCTCATCGAGGCGGGAGGAAGAGGCATCCTCTGGGCTGGACTCAGTGAAGCCAGGCCAGGACAAGGCTCCCCTCTAGGGTGGGGCGACCCAGAAACCTCTAGTGCTACAGAGGTGGAGTAGAATGGGGGTTGAGGAAAGGACATTGACTTTGGTGAGTTGGGTCTCTGTTGGGAGGGCAGGCCGAGGATAGGATGTCCAAGACACAGAGGCAGAGAAGGAAGGTCACCTTTTTCCAGAGGTGCATGGAAGGAGGGAAGTGAAGCTACTGGAAGGAGGAGGGAAAACAGGTCAGGGAACAGATCAGAGAGTGGATCCTTGAGGAGCTGTTTTATTACAGAGGAACCAACAAGCACTTGAGCCTGGTTGTAGTTTACAGGGAAGAGGTGTGGGTGGACGCAGGTGCATGCAGAGAGAGGAGGATGCCGAAGATGAGAGAGCAGAACAATGGATCCAGCACGTCTTCAGAAAGAGGTGGAAGGAAGGGAAGCAATGAGAGCAGAGACAGAGAATTAATTGTGAGTAGGAAGAAGGGCGATTGGCTGGAAGGTCAGGGTGGGGCACTTACAAGAAAGATGGAGAAAGGAAACAGGCCTAGTGGTGGAGGCAGGAATTCCTGGCCCAGGAAGAGAATTCTAGTGCTCTCAGTGCCATCCAGTCCTGTCCAGCCCTCTGCTCTCTCCACCTGATTGGAGGCTCCTGGACCTCACCCCGCCTCAGGCAGTGCAAGAGGACCTTCCCCCGCTCTCCAGAAGTTCTCATCCATTCCACTTCTGGCATTTCATTCTCAAGTCCAGGGAGGGAAACGTTTAGCCGCTCAAAGTTAAAAAATCAAGAGCTCTAAATAATTCCTCAAATGAGAACATTGAAAACCTTGAAGGTGTGCCTTTTGTAGTATTGTTTAAAAATAAATCTTTTTTTTTTTTTTAAGACGGAGTCTCACTCTGTCGCCCAGGCTGGAGGGCAGTGGTACGATCTCAGCTCACTGCAACCTCCGCCTCCCACGTTCAAACAATTTTCCTGCCTCAGCCTCCCAAGTAGCTGGGATTACAGGCACGTGCCACCATGCCTGGCTAATTTTTATATTTTTAGTAGAGACAGGGCTTCACCACGTTGGCCAGGCTGGTCTTGAACTCCTGATCTCAAGTGATCTGCCCATCTTGGCCCCCCAAAGTGCTGGGATTACAGGCATAAGCCACTGCACCCGGCCTTAAAAATAAATCTGAATCCCAGACTGGATGCTAGTTTTGCATACAACCTACAATCCTGACAAGGGGGCAGGGGTGGGTAAACCATGGTGTGTCCACCAGTGGAGTGGGGAGGCCTGCATGGTGCTGAGCATGAACCAGTGCTCCATCAACAGAGGCCACTGTCACCATTACGTAAAACCATCGGAAAATGCTTGAGATTAAATGCCAAGCAAAAGAGCAGTGCATCAAATGCTTTTTATAACTATAATCACCAAGTAAAATGAACACAACAAGAAAATAAAGGAGGTTGGGCATGGTGGCTCACACCTGTAATCCCAGCACTTTGGGAGGCCAAAGCGGGCAGATCATTTGAGATCAGGAGTTTGAGACCAACCTGGCCAACATGGTGAAACTCCGTCTCTACTAAAAATACAAAAATTTGGCTGAGTACACACCTGTAATCCCAGCTATTTGGGAGGCTGAGGCAGGAGAATCACTTGAATCTGGGAGACAGAGGTTGCAGTGAGCCAAGATCATGTCACGCACTCCAGCCGGAGCTATAGAGTGAGACTCTGTCTCAAAACAAACAAACAAACAAAAATTAAGTCCAAATGCTTATTATTATCATTATTATTATTTTGAGACAGGGTCTTGCTCTGTTCCCCAGGTCACCCAGGCTGGAGTGCAGTGGCATGATATTGGCTCACTGTAGCCTCAACCTCCCAGGCTCAAGCGATCCTCCTACCTCAGCCTCCAGAGTAGCTGGGACTACAGGCACATGCTACCACACCCAGCTAATATATATATATATATATAGTAGAGATGGGGTTTCACCATGTTGCCCAGGCTGGTCTCGAACTGCTGGGCTCAAGCAATCCACCTGTCTCTGCCTCCCAAAGTACCGGGATTACAGGCGCAATCCACCATGCCCAGCCACAAATGCTTTTTAATCATTGTCTTAGGTTCAATGAGATTGTAGATGAATTATTTACTTCTTTTTCATATTTTCCAAAGTTTCTATGAGCACTTGTTGCTTTTAAATTGTTTAAATTGAAGTATAGCATGCACATGGAAAAGTGCACACCAAAAAATGTACAGCTCGGCCCGGCATGGTGGCTCACGCCTGTAATCCAAGCACTTTGGGAGGCCGAGGCAGGCGGATCCCCTGAGCTCAAGAGATCAAGATCATCCTGGTCAACATGGTGAAACCCCGTCTCTACTAAAAAATACAAAAAATTAGCTGGGCGTGGTGGCGCACACCTATAGTCCCAGCTGCTCGGGAGGCTGAGGCAGGAGAATCACTTGAACCCGGGAGGAGGAGGTTGCAGTGAGCCAAGATCGTGCCACTGCCCTCCAGCCTGGGCAACAGAGCAAGACTCTGTCTCAAAAAAAAAAAAAATGTACAGCTCAGTCATCACAAAGCTAAGGCTGTGCCACCATCATCCTGATCCACAACTAGAACATCGCCAATACCCAGCAGCTCTCTTCCTGTCCCCCAACCTTCATCCCCATCCCATTCTAACTCTATAGCTCAGTATTGCCTATAGCTGAACTTTATGTTTGAAACCACACAGTATGTGTTGTTTGTGCCTGGTAACTTTTACTCAGCATTGTGTTTGTGAGGTTCAGCTATGGGTCATTCATTTTTATTGCTGTGTAACAGGGGTCCCCAACCTCCAGGCCACAGATCGATACCTGTTAGGAACCTGGCCCCGCAGCAGGAGGTGAGCGAGCATTACACCTGAGCTCTGCCTCCTGTCAGATCAGCGGCGGCATGAGCTTCTCATAGGAGCACAAATCCTATTGTGAACTGCACATATGAGGGATCTAGGCTGCCTGCTCCTTATGAGACTCTAACTAATGCCTGATGATCTGAGGTAGAACAGTTTCATCCCAAAATTATCTGCCCCCCCACCACCCCACACCCAGGTCCATGGAAAAAATTGTCTTCCACAAAACTGGTCCCTGGTGCCAAAAAGGTTAGGGACCACTGCTGTCTAGTATTTCATGATTTATATATCACAGTTCTTGTGTCCATTTCACCTTGATAGACATGTAAGTTGTTTCCAGTTTGAGGACGTTACAAGTAATGCATCTGTGAAATTTTTATACATGTCTCTAGGTACACATGTCATGCATTTCTGTTGGGTATAAACCTAGGAGTGAATTGCTGGGTCATAGAATGTGCATGTATTCCATTTCAGTAGATAATACCAACTGTTCTCCAGTGTAACTGGGCCAGCATATACACCCATGAGAGCAGGAGAACTCCCAGCGCCCCACACTCTCACCAGCACTTAGTGTTGTCCAACTTTCCAACTTTGGCAAATCTGGCAGTGTGGAGTGATAGCTCATTATCTCGTCATGGGTTTCAGGTGTTCCTTTTTTCCTAAGAGTGCCTCTCAGTACCACAAGTGCTTTATCTGGTGCCTGCACCATAGCAACCACTCAAAATGTTTGAAGAAGTAATAAAAGGATGAATGCATGCTCTATTTCAAGAGTGTTTCTGGATTCCTGAGTGTGTATCTGTAACAGAGCCCCTATCTTTGATATGTCTGTGAAATTCAGTTAAAGTATACTTCAAGGATAACCGAGGCTTTGAGATATAGGGCAATTTCGAAGTTGCCTTATATATGAGATATAGAGATAGTAAAAAAAAAAAAAAACTTGGGGAGGGGGTGATCATTTTCTGCCCTTCCCTCTACCTCCCCGCAACAAGTGGTGGCCACGCTGGCTCCTGAGGCACGTCCTTGTCTGTGTGTCTCTTCCAGGGACGAGGATCTGATTAACAAGTGTGGGGACGACGCGCGCATCTACATCGTGTTCCAGTACCACCTCATCATCTTTGTGCTCATCATCTGTATCCCCTCCCTGGGCATCATTTTGCCCATCAACTATACTGGATCTGTTCTGGGTAGGCAAAGCTCAGCTGGCCCTGGGGCAGCAGCTGGACCTGAGAGGCAGCCAGGCAAGCCAGTCAGGGCTGGGGTTGAGGGTCTAGACATCTATTTTAATCCTGCCTCTGGGAGTTTGTTGTTGTGTGAACTTGAACAAACCATGCTTCGCTTCTCTCATGTGGAGACTGGAGACGATTCCTCCTTTGTCACAGGTTTGGCCCAGAGCCTGACACACAGCAGGCACATAGTATTAATTCAGTTTGGAACTGAGTGTTCATTCATGGCCCCACTCTGGCTGGGCGTTCCTGGAGACCCTTTTGTGACATGTGACCCACTGCAAAGATCCCTGAACCCACTCTGTTGGACATAACACCATAGGTGCAGAATTTGTCTTGTAGGACCTCTACTCCCACTCATTGGAACAGGGTGAGCCCTTTGGAGGGAACAGCATTGTGGATGAGACCTTGGCTTCTAAAACAGAAAAATCATGGCTCCACAATGTTTACCCACACCTGCTCCCCAGAAAATACCTTTGCCTAGCTAATATGTTATTTTATTTTATATTTTATTTATTTATTTATTTAATTTATTGAGACAGAGTTTTGCTATTGTTGCCCAGGCTGGAGTGCAATGGCGCGATCTCAGCTCACTGCAACCTCTGCCTCCTGGGTTCAAGTGATTCTCCTGCCTCAGCCTCCTGAGTAGCTGGGATTACAGGCACCCGCCTCCACACCCGGCTAATTTTTGTATTTTTAGTAGAGACGGGTTTTCACCATGTTGGCCAGGCTGGTCTCAAACTCCTTACCTCCAGTGATCCGCCCGCCTTGGCCTCCTAAAATGCTGAGATTACAGGCATGAGCCACCGCACCTGGCCACTAACATGTGATTTAACCTTGTATATGGCAAATCAGTCTCCCGAGCTTTACTTTCCTCAACTGTCTTAGGGATTGGGAGATCACATGCCACATACCTATACAGTGTTTGATATACATAGTAGGTGCTCAATGAATAGCAGCTAGTATTTCATTTAGAATCATGAAGCTGAATGGAGCTGTATGAAGACTGTACAACTGGGTGGTGCAGAATAGCACCGTAAATGCCCCAGGGGCAACCAGCTTTCCCCTGATTCCTCAGGTTTCTACCTGTTCATCCTTGGCCAGAGGTAGACCTTAATTAATTCAGTTTAGCACACTGAGTGTCCATGCCACCAAATGCCACTACTAGAGTAATATCTGAGTCTTGTCTCATCCCAAGAGCTGGTATGTTGGCAGTGATAATATCATGCAGGATTTTTAGACACATTTTATAAGGGGGTGTCTGAACCGTCAAACTAATGCACATAGCCAGAAGGATTTCCTCTGAATGAGGCAGTGTTGCCTTTTCTGGACGTTGCCAGTGGTAATAGTGTTGCTAATTTCATCATTCTGCTCGTGGCTGGATGGCTGGTGCCTCCAACAAGCATTCACTGGGTGTCCATTATGTGCCAATTATGCCCTGGAGATACCACACAAAGAAGTGTTCTCGCTTTCCTCCCGAGAGCCCCAGTCAGCAGTGCCAGGGAAAAGAGGCCTCTGATGTCTTTGTTAAAAGTTGGGGAGAAGCTCTGGGGAACCAGAAGGAAGAGGAGGTCAAAGGCAAGCATCTCCAGACCCCACGCATTTGTCCAGGAACCTTGAATTCTGGCGCCCCCAGCAACTGAGGAGCCAGGCTCGAGGTCAGCAACTTCTTTCTCTTTCAGACTGGAGCAGTCACTTTGCTCGGACCACCATTGTCAATGTCTCCACAGAGTAGGTACCTGATCTTAACCTCCCATTCCATTGGCTGGGGGTGTTGGTGTGGAGAGGAGGTCTAACATGTCAGTTTGCAACATGGGCAGCGTTTTGCTGATAAGAAAGGCCTGGTTTCCCTGGGAATCGGGTCCTGAGTGAGATGCCAGAAGCTGCATCCTCTTGGTGGGGCAGGACTCTTGGTGTGAGATGAGGCCCTGTGTCCTCATCTGTCATGAGTGGAGCTGCCCAAACTGGCCACTCATGAAGACGTGGAGAAATGGTCCTATTTGCTTAGTGTACCCAGATCCCAAGAGGCAGAGACCATGTGCTGAAAGAGATTGAAGATTGTTTTCCTGCCACCAATAGGTTCCAGTCAGCCGTCATATACCCGAGTGAATCATGTGCCTGACAGTCCCCCTCAGAGTCCCACAGCAGACTCGTGCCCCACCTCTGCCATTAACTGGCCCTAGGTCTGAAGCAGTGCACCCCCAACACTGAGCTTCAGTCCTTATTCATGTCCATCATTGGGGAAGAGCTGGTGGACATGCTCTCTAAGCTCCTTCCCCTCACAGGCCAAGAACCTGTGGGTTTCAACTTCAGCCAACCTGACTGGAGGCCATATCAATTTGCCCCGAGCCAAATGTGGCCCCGTTGGTCCATGCCATGGCCCAGGTGTCTAGGCCAGCTTGGCTGATTCCTGACAAAGCTGCAGAAGCAGCTCCAGCAAGTGTGAGTGGGGTTCACACACCCCTGCCCCACCTCGCCTCCCCCAACCCCTATCCCTCTGCCCCTGCTCTCCTGCAATACACCTTGGAGCAGACTGGCTTAACCCAAATTCTGAAATGAGCGGAAAGGGGCTATGGCATCCTCTCACCTCTGCTTTGACCATATCCTCCCCTGAGGATGCCAACCAGAGCAGGGATATCGGCTCCTTCCCGAGGCCCATTGCTGGCCCGAGGTACCTACATCTTCCCAACAAAAAGTGAATTCTAGTAGAACAGCAAAAAGCCATCAATCTCCATGAATCTATCCTGGCAGAGAGCTGGAACATTCTGTAGAGACCATGTAGCCTTGCCCTTCTGTGGAAACTGAGGGTGGAGCAGCATGGTGGATCCACCATCATAGCAGATGGCAATGGCGTGTGAGGTGCCAGGCACCAGGGGTATTTTGAAACAAGGTGACCTTTCTCCCCTCTAACCATGTAGAATAAAGTGGGCCCTATTTCTGAGTAGCAATCCTAGCCAGGTGCTTTGGGATGGCATCATGTGGGTTGAAAGCAGGGATGGCAAACATGGTCCAAGTGCCACGACTCTCCTACCCCAGGGGCGGTGCTGCAAACCGTCTGGTCCTCCTCCCCCGAGGCCTGCAGGTAACACAGGTTCTTCCTCACTTGGTCTGCTGTGCAACCATGGGGGCCTGAGCCACAGCAGTTGGCAGGATGGCGTAGCAGTGATGAATCTAAGTACTTCAGCAGCTCTGGGCTCACCTCCCAGCGCACCATTGCTACAGTGACCTTGAGAGGGGCACCGACCCTCTCTCACCCTCCTTTCCCTATGAGTGAAGTGAAGATAACCACATGCATGGCTATGTGTGTGGTTGAGTCTAGTGAGAAAATGCACACCATGCACTAAGTCCCACTTGGATCTGGCTCAGAGTAAACACTCAATAAACGTTCCCCCCATGAGCTGGAGCAAGACCCTTTCTCACCACTGATGCCCCTTCCAAGGCACCTGAGTGTCTGGACTCCAAGAAGGTGTTCCTGGAAAGACTGCATGTGGGCTGGGAGAGAGGGGTCCAGGGAGATTGTGATCGGTGGGAGGGGAGGGTCTGAGAAGACTGCAATGGATGGGGAGATATTTGGGGAGACTGTGATAGGTGAGAGGGGAGGATCCAGGGATACTGTGATGGGTGGGAGGGAGACCTGGGAGACTGTGATGGGTGGGGAAGGTGTCCAGGGGGACTGCAGTGGGTGGGGGTCTGGGGAGACTGTGGTGGGTGGGGGGTCTGGGGAGACTGTGATGGGTGGCGGTTATGGGGAGACTGCAATGGGTGGGAGGATCTGGGGAGACTGTGATGGGTGGGAGGGAGCAGGGAGCCCTAGGAGACTGTGATGGGTGGGGAAGGTGTCCAGGGGGACTGCAGTGGGTGGGGGTCTGGGGAGACTGTGGTGGGTGGGGGGTCTGGGGAGACTGTGGTGGGTGGCGGGTATGGGGAGACTGTGATGGGTGGGGGTATGGGGAGACTGTGATGGCTGGGGGTATGGGGAGACTGTGATGGGTGGGGGTATGGGGAGACTGTGATGGGTGGGCGGTATGGGAAGACTGGTGGGTGGGGGGTATGAGGAGACTGTGGTGGGTGGGGGGTATGGGGAGACTGTGGTGGGTGGGGGGGTATGGGGAGACTGTGATGGGTGGGAGGGAGCAGGGAGCCCTAGGAGACTGTGATGGGTGGGGGAGGTGTCCAGGGGGACTGCGGTGGGTGGTGGCCTGGGGAGATGGTGATGGGTGGGGGGGTCTGGGGAGACTGTGATGGGTGGGGAGTCTAGGGAGACTGTGATGGGTGGGGGTCTGGGGAGACTGTGGTGGGTGGGGGGTATGGGGAGACTGCGATGGGTGGGGGCATGGGGAGACTGTGATGGTAGGGGGAGTCTAGGGAGACTGTGATGGGTGGGGGTCTGGGGAGACTGTGGTGGGTGGGGGGTATGGGGAGTCTGTAATGGATGGGGGTATGGGGAGACTGTGATGGGTGGGGGTATGGGGAGACTGTGGTGGGTGGGGGGTATGGGGAGACTGGTGGGTGGGGGGTATAGGGAGACTGTGATGGGTGGGGGTATGGGGAGACTGTGATGGGTGGGGGTATGGGCAGACTGTGGTGGGTGGGGGGTATGGGCAGACTGGTGGGGGGGTATGGGGAGACTGTGATGGTAGGGGGAGTCTAGGGAGACTGTGATGGGTGGGGGTGGGGGATACTGTAATGGGTTGGGGTCTGGGGAGACTTGGATGGTTGTGGGGGTCTGAGGAGACTGTGATGGGCTGGGGGGCCCCAGGAGACTGAGGGTAGGAGGAGGCCCAGGGGTCTCTGTGCAGTGGGCTCTGGGGAGCTCACAGGCTGACCTCACTGCTGCTGCCTCCCTCCCTGCAGGAGCAAGCTCCTGTGGCTGCATAGCCTGCTGTCCTTCTTCTACTTCATCACCAACTTCATGTTCATGGCTCATCACTGCCTGGGGTTTGCACCCAGGAATAGCCAAAAGGTAAGTAGCCTACAAAGCTGCTTCCCACTGTGGGAAGCTGGGGTCCCTCCCCACTGGGCTGACCACTTCCAACCCTCAGAGAAGCCCTCAGAGGGTCCAGGGAGACTGTGATAGATGGGAGGGGGCGGTTTCACCTGAGCAGGGGCCAAGCTTCCTCCCTTCAGTCCTAGTAACAATCACCTGGCCCCCACCTCTCACCCTTCTCCACCCTCTCACCCTCCTCCACGCTGCTCCACCCTCTCACGCTCCTCCACCCTCTCACCCTCCTCCACGCTGCTCCACCCTCTCACGCTCCTCCACCCTCTCACCCTCTCACCCTCCATCCTCTCACCCCTAATGAAACTTTCAGACTGGTTGGTAAATAGCTGCTGCCCAGGTACCTCCTATCCCTGCCCCTCTGCTGCCCCGCCCCTCCCCAGGGACTCTTGGACTTCCCACCATCTGAAAACTAAAGGATTAACAAGGCCCAGTGGACCAGCGGGGGCCTCCATGCTAAGTGGTCTGGGCCCTGCTGAGCTGCTGCTACTTAGTGTACCTGGCCCTGCCCACCCCTGCTAGGCCCGTGCCTCGCCCTTCTGCAGTCTCTCGGAGATCAGAGACCCCCGTGTATCCCCACCGTCTCAGTTTGGGTGACCCCATCCAAGCAGACCCTGAGACTTGGAATGAGTAGCGCTTGTTTATGGGAGGTGATCCCAGGAAAGGCCAGTAAGGGAGTGAGGATGCAAAGGCAACCAAAAAAAGGGAGCATGGAGGGGCAACTTACCCCTGTGGGCAAGTGGAGCTTCATGACCAGGGAACTCTGGGAGCTGGTGTAGAGCACATGCCCCAGAATTTTCCTGGAGGTGAGCAATCGTGGGTATTTTCCACCAGCTCCCTGTCCACCGTTCATTGAGGGTTGCGCTTGGGGGCTTTAACTCCTCCCCTACTTGGCCCTGCACAAAAGCTGAACATGCCCCAAGGCCGGGAAAGAGCAGTCGCAGTATTTGAAGCATGCTGCAGGTGTTGGTGTGCAGAGATGACTGACGGGGGGCCACGGGCAGGCACCAGCAGTGCCACCCATCTGGACCAGCACCCATGCTCTGCTGGGGATGGGCAAGAGTGAGGAGCATCCTTAGTTCCCGTCCTCAGCCTTTCAAAGGTTCAGTGGTGTGGAATCAGCTCCTTCCAGGCCGTCCATTCAAAAGGACTGATTCACTTGAACCCACCCCAGAGTGCAAATCCACATTCCCTGAAAAGTGAACCCAAATGCTTCAGCCTGCCAGGCATGGAGGCTTGGTCACCCTTGACCAGTCTGGTGTCTGCTACTTCAGCTTTCCTTCTTGTCACCAGAAGCCTCTTTCAAGACCCCTGATTCTTGCAGCACAATTACCAGACTGTCATCTTAAAGGTGACGACCCAGGAAGATATTTCCCATTCACAGAATAAAGTGTGAAGTTTAGGGAAGCTTCCCTACCCTCTCCCCAGAGTCTTGTTTACTTCCCAACTCCCCGGCCCAGTCTCACGTGAGGGATTTCCCTAGAGATGTGAGGCTTTACGCTGGAACAGTGGAAGCTACAGGGAGAGCAGAAATCACTGTGGGGTCGCTCTGGCAGCTCTTTCCAATCATGGAGCTCTGATCCTCCACCCCAGCCTGATGGCAGCTTTCCAGTCCTTCCTCCCTTCACCACAGCAGTCCGGAGCAGGGCACCCACAGCTGGGCACAGAGGAGAACGGAAGCACAGTTGACCAACCTCAGAGCTGCCTGGCTCAGCTGGGACGCTGTGGGCTAAGGCAGCTGGCACTTCCTTGGCCCACAGTGTCCCAGCTTGGCTCTGGCTTTCTTGGCTCTCTCAGCAAGGAGGCACTGGCATCAGCAGCCTGCTGTGAGCAGAAGGCCTGCTCTGAGCCACCAAAAGACTGAGGTGTCTGGAATTCCTATGCAAGCACAGTCTTCTTTCTCCATTTTTATTTTTCCCACCCAGGTCACAAGGACACTAATGATCACCTATGTGCCCAAGGACATTGAAGACCCAGAACTCATCATTAAGCATTTTCAGTAAGTGGGTTGGGGTAGGCCAAGGCGTGGATTGCTTCCTCCCCATAACCCCGCCTGGGTCCTCAAGTGGGTAGTGAGTTGGTGCAGGATGGTGGGACTGGGACACCCCGGGGTGGCTCTCCCTGGACTCAGCTCAGGATCAGCTTTTTAGAATGGGGAGGGCCGCTGGAGCTGGAGCAGGGTGTCTGAAGTCAGGGACTTCCTGCATGGCATGGCTGTGATATGGGTGATGGGAATTTTTCTTTCTCCTGTTGCTTCAACTACTGAGCACAGGGAACCTTGGATCACAGCTATTTAGAGAAGATCATCTGGAGACATCCTTTGTGACCCCAAGTTCCCAGCCCCAAGGACACTGTTCACTGAGCTAATTATCTCTTCGTGAACAGCTGTCTCCTGGGTTCCCCAGTGGGTGGAGCTCCGCCCTTTTGCCCTGTTCTGAGTTGTGTAGGAAGGATTTGGCAGCTCTCAGATTGCCAAGGTTCAAACCCTGAGGTTCAGCTTTAGGAGCAGAGATGGAGTATCCCATCCAGGAACACCAGGCAGCTGAGCCACCCAGCCCTCAGGGCCGACATGCTGGGCAGGGGGTAGGGGCAGCACATCCCCAACCCCACAGGCCGACTCAGCACCCATGTTTGTGGCTGCAGCGAGGCCTATCCAGGCAGTGTCGTGACAAGAGTCCACTTCTGCTACGACGTCAGGAACCTGATCGACTTGGACGATCAGAGGTGAGGCTGCAGCGGGGCCTTTTGGGGCCCGGGGTGGGGGTAAAAGGGGAGGATGGGGCTCTGCTGGCCCCTGACCTGCAGGTCCTTCTCCTGTTGCCCACCGCTGGCAGGCGCCATGCCATGCGGGGCCGGCTTTTCTATACAGCCAAGGCCAAGAAGACTGGGAAGGTGATGATCAGGATCCACCCCTGTGCCCGCCTGTGCTTCTGCAAGTGCTGGACCTGCTTCAAGGAGGTAACTGGCTTGAGCGTTGGGAGCACAGCAAGGGAGCGGTGGGGTCCTGGGGCTCTAGGCTCTGTGCCTTTGCCCGCACTGTTGGGCCCCAGGCCTCACTCAGGTCTGCTCTAGTGCTCCCCACCCAGCTCCTTCCTCCCCATCCACCATGTCCTGCCTCCCTGTTGAGATGGGAGCCTTTCTGGAGGCCACCTTCAGAACAATCCAGGGAAGCTTGCTGCTGTCTCCTTTCTGGTCTTGGATGGGAGAATGAGAGAGAAGGACCAGAGAAAACACAGCAGGCTACACGAGGCTGCCAGGCCTCAGGCTCCCAAAGAGATAGGACAGAAACATTTGAAGGCAACAGCTTGTCTTATCACCTGACCACTGTGGCTCAAAGAGGGCGTCGAGACTCAGACACCTGCTTCAGGACCATGCCGAACTTCTGCCAGCCCAGAGATTCACCCTCTCTCGTGGAAATGCGGCAAACACATTCTCTCACCTCTCTGGGGTCCACCCCAAGCCTGAAAGCCCCCGGGTACCCCTAGCTATGCCTCACTTTCCCCAGATCTAAGGGCAGGGGTGAATGGCAGTCATCGCCTCTTCTTGTTCTAGAGGTGGGACTTTGGAGGCCAGCCAGGGTCCTGGGCTCCTTGAGGTGCTTCAAGGCCACCACAATCCAGGGAGGCTTGAGTGGGGAGGAACCTCGTGACCAGGGAGGCCTTCCTGGGGCTCTGGCCCCAGCCCTGAAGGCTGCCTGCCACCCCAGGTGGATGCAGAGCAGTATTACAGCGAGCTAGAGGAGCAGCTAACGGACGAGTTCAACGCCGAGCTCAACCGCGTGCCGCTCAAGCGGCTGGACCTGATCTTTGTCACCTTCCAGGACTCCAGGATGGCCAAGCGGTGAGCACCAGGCAGGCGCCCCACCCAGCCCCAAGCATACTCCTGCTTCTCGGCACTCTCCTCCCTCTCCACCTCCAGTTTCCCCTTCTGCCTCCCCTGGGCCCTCCATGCTCGTCACAGGCAGCTGCCATCTGGCTCTCCAGTGGATGAGATGGCCATACCTGCTTCCCCCAGCTGCTGGGGCCCAGCTGCTCTCAAGGGGTGCCCAGGCCGGGGCTCCTCACTCCCTGTCCTTGCTTTAGCACAGAGGTGGTCAGAGAAGCCTTTGACCTCATGGTCCCTCTTCTGCCCTTGACAAGAATGACATCCCTTTTCCCTTTTTCTTTTTTTTTTTTTTTCTTTTTTTTTTTTTTTCTTTTTTTGAGAGAGTCTCGCTCTGTCACCCAGGCTGGAGTGCAATGGCACAATCTCAGCTCACTACGACCTCTGCCTCCCAGGTTCAAGCGATTCTCCTGCCTCAGCCTCCCAAGTAGCTGGGATTACAGGTGCCTGCCACCATGCCCGGCTAATGTTTGTATTTTTAGTAGAGACGGGGTTTCACCATGTTGGCCAGGCTGGTCTCGAACTCCTGACCTCAGGTGATCTGCCCACCTCAGTCTCCCAAAGTGCTGGGATTACAGGTGTGAGCCACTGCGCCCAGCTGACACACACATCACTCCCTCCTCACCATAAGAGAGCGTCAGGATAGAGCAGCTCTGTTTGCCCTTCTCCTGCCGCAGGCCTCCCCTAATTCATAGCTCTACAGTCCCCTCTCTTCTCTGCCCCAGCCTCTGGCAGCCCATGCGTTGACAAGGAGTGAATTCAGTCCACTCTGGAATGTTCCAGAAGGATCCTTAGGACTGGGCCAAAGTCCTAAAGGAGCTCCAGAATTTATCTCTTAAGAACTGTGGGGGGCAGGGGGGCTCTTCTTTCTGGGGGAGGCTGATCCTGTACAGCACATTGTTCCCACCTACCCCAACCCTACAAAGGAAGAGCAGAACTACCTAGATTTTGCTCACAAACAATGGTACACAATTTTGCAAGTTCCTTACACTCTCAACTTTTTATCTGGCAAATTTGGTTACTGATATCTGTCCTGTTCACCTCCCGGAGGGTTGACAAGTGATATGCCTTCTATTCAGTTTCTGTGTTGTTTAAAGCAATACACCTACCTAAGGTTATATTGTTCATTCTTTGAGACATTGCCATTTGGTAGAGAGGATCCGGGGCTTAATTACAGCAGAATATGAGCTAGCAAGCCAGAGGTGGGGCTCCAGCACCTGCTCCTCTTTGGTCACATCTCTAGGCACCTCGATTTAGTCATCTGTGCAATGGAAATGATACTGGTCATCAATTAGCACAGTGTCAAGCACACAGAAAGAACTCAATAATTAGTAGCTATTGATATTAAGATGAGGCTAAAAGTAGTACCTCCCTTATCAAATCTCAAAGAAAGAGTGTGTTTATGTGCTGTCACTGCTGTTAAGGGGAAAGGCAGAAACAGAACCACGTGGCACCTCTGCCCTGCCTGGGCAGTCTAGGCACCCTCAAATGCCCTTTCCTCCAGATACTGGGCCTTAGGAACTGTCCACCTCTAAGGTCCTGAAGACATATCCAAGGCTTCAAGAATCCCCAGGAAGGGGATGAGCCCCCATCTGTAGGACCACCATAGTGGCCCTGAGCTCCTGGCATGAGACCCTCCTAAGCCCATCCCCCCACCCCCAGACCCACATTTCTTCCTCTTCTCCCCTCTCTGCAGTGTCCGTAAGGATTACAAGTATGTCCAGTGTGGTGTGCAACCCCAGCAGTCCTCAGTGACCACCATCGTCAAATCATATTACTGGAGGGTCACTATGGCCCCACACCCCAAAGACATTATTTGGTAAGCCTCCTCCATCCCTCCCCTCTCCTCTGAGCTCCTCTGAGACTGAAGAAGGCAGCAGGACAGGGCCTTCTCTCCCCATGTCATTGCCCAACAGAGACTCCAAGGGGACTAAGTTCCATGCTCTCCTAAGCACCACAACCTGTGTGTATGCCCAGACTCATTCCCACAAGTGTGGGTGGCATCCAACCCTTAGCAAAAAGGCTTTTCCTGCAGAGGGAACTCAGGTCCATTTTTTTTTGGCTCTATGCTCTGGATCCTTTATAAATGGTGTGACAGGGGACGGTCCAGGGTCCTGTTGCATGCAAGTCTGGGCCCAGGAGGCTGGATTAGACCAGGGCAGGCTGGGTCCACAGCTGGCCTGCAGCAAACAGCACGTGGGCTCTAAGAACTGATGTCTCTAAATGTGCCTCCTTCTTCCATCCTTCCCCAGGAAACACCTGTCTGTCCGCCGCTTCTTTTGGTGGGCCCGCTTTATCGCAATCAACACCTTCCTCTTCTTCCTCTTCTTCTTTCTCACCACGCCTGCCATCATCATGAACACTATCGACATGTACAACGTCACCCGCCCCATCGAGAAGCTGCAGGTGCCTCCTCTGCTCAGGCCAGGCCTGGGGACCCCAGGGAGATCAAGGAATAATTCAGGCGAGGATGGGATGGGGGGAGCCCCCTGGGAGGGGGCTGTGGAGCCCATACAGTGCGAACATTGTGGAGGTGGCCATGGTGCAAATGGCGGGGTAGGGCTTGCTTTGTTCTAAAGGGATGAAGGTGGGTGACTGCCAGTCTTAGGGACCAGGGCTAGAGTGGGAAGGGAGAGTGGGGAGTCCACAGGCAGGTCCTGGGGTGAGTTGGAGGGGGTGTCGTCCTGTCAACATGGGCTCAGAGGTCTTCATGAACGGGGTCATCCCAGGCCAGCTTGGGGTCCAGAGGGTGTGGCAAGTGTGAGTGGCTCTGCTCTCTGCAAGTTGTCCGAGGCAGCAGGCTCCTGGTTTGTGTAGTAGGGTTAAAGGTGAGGAAGAGTGAGGTAAGCCCCAACGCAGCCCTCTCAGAGAAGTGGGAGCTCAAGATCTGCCTCCACCTCCCTCATCTCCAGACACCTGCACTCCAGGCTGGGAGCCCTCAGCCCTGGAGGAACCATCTCTGAAGTTAGGGGATGCCTCCTGCTGATGGTGCAGGTCAGAGGGATCCTAGCCCATTTCCAAATTCTTTAGCCTCAAGACTGTTACTAGGAGCCTAGAAGGTCTCTTCTTCCATATTCTCGCCATCCTCATTTCCAACAACACACATGTGCATGCGCACATGCACACACTCACACAAAGTCAACACACACGCATGCACACACACGCACACATGCACAGTCAACAGACGTGTGCATGCACGCACACACATACAGTCAACATGTGTGCATGCACACACGTACACACACACACAAGTCAAGCCACACCACTTCTGCTGCTGATTTTTGTTCCCCTTTGTCAACTTTGTAATAGGCCCCAGACCCCACGCATCCTGGGAGGGCCACAGCTCTCCCTGGGGACTCCTCCATCCTCCCCTCCTCCCCCGCTCACATGTCATCACAGCAAAGGCAATTTGCTGGGGTTGCACTCCTGGCTAGCTCTGGCCTTAGGAGGAAGTCACTCAAGAAAGCTCAGGCTGCCGCTCCAGTGACCTCAGCATAGAAGGCCTAGCTGCTTGGGGACTCCACTTGACCTTGGGTGTCAGCCTCTGCCTGGCCAGGAAAGCCAGTGAGAAGGGCCAGGCCCCTTGCAGCCTCCAGGAGAGCAAGCCAGCCCTGGGAGTGAGTGGGAGGAGAAGAAGCAAGGGGAAGAGGATGCTTGCATTGACGTCTCTCCTGCCGTCCTCCCCTCTCCCCCTGCAGAACCCAATTGTGACCCAGTTCTTCCCCTCTGTGATGCTCTGGGGCTTCACAGTGATACTGCCTCTGATTGTCTACTTCTCCGCCTTCCTCGAGGCCCACTGGACCAGGTGACCTGGGGGCCTCCTCTCGTAGCCCTGTGGTTTCTCCAGCCTCTTCCCCTGCCCTGGCTTCCCCGCCAGCCTGGCACTTGGGCCTCCCCTCTAGCCTAAGAAGGAGAATTGATAAGGGATGGTTTTGATACCTGAAACCATCCCCAAAGACCAACAGGTGTTCTGTCTTTGGAAGGAGGGTCTGGGTTGACTCTGGGCCCCTGGGTTGCTGAGATAGAGCCACTGTCTAAGAGTGTGGGGCCAAAGCCAAGCCCTCCTTGAGCTTCTCCCTCAGCCCCCAGCCATATCCTGAAGGCATGGAGCTGTAGGCATGAGCTAGGCAGTCCCAGGCATTCCATGCAGAAGGCACAGGAGGAAAGACTTGTGTGGGAATGTCAATAGAATGCTTTGGCCACACAGAGGGGCCCACAAACTCACTATGACTGTCATCACATATGGCCCACACCATGCCAACCTTTTACCCAATCAGGAGCGTTCCCATTTGTTAGCCTTGATGGTTCTATGGTGGCTGCTCACTGGGTAGAAAGTATTTGCCATACCCTGGGCAGGTGGCAGTACTTTGGCTTGAAAGCTGCATGCATCTCAAAAGTTATTTTCCGCACCAAAAGTTCCTACTATTCCACCAGGCAGCAGCCAAAAGGTTTGTCCTAACGGAAATCCTTCCTGGCCTTTTCCTCTGGCCAAGAACAAGACTTATATTGATGACTGAAACTGCAGGGATTTTTAGTATTCTTGGTAATGTCTCTTTAACACAGAGACATCAACTATATGGCACATCTGTGCCTTCCCATCCCTTCCCATGCCCAGCACAGACATCACTAGTGGATCATGCTGTTCTTTCCTGATGCTCCCAGATGCAGCACAGCTCACAGTGGTGTATGGAGATGGCATCGGTATGCACAATTAAACCAATTTCCCAGCCCAGACCTCTACTCTGCGTATGTCTGTATTAGCCAGTTTTCACACTGCTGATAAAGACATACCCGAGACTGGACAATTTATAAAAGAAAGAGGTTTCATTGGACTCGCTATTAGTCCATTTGCACTCTGCTGATAAAGACATACTCAAGACTGGGTAATTAACATAGGAAAAAGGGTTTATTGGACTTGCAGTTCCATGTGGCTGGGGAAGCCTCACAATCATGGTGGCAGGCAAGGAGGAGCAAGTCACATGTTACGTGGATGGCAGCAGGCAAAGAGAGCTTGTGCAGGGAAACTCCCCCTTGTAATACCATCAGATCTCACGAGACTTATTCGCTATCATGAGAACGGCATGGGAAAGACCCACCCCCCATAATTCAATCATCTCCCACTGGGTCCCTCCCACAACATGTGGGAATTATGAGAGCTACAAGATGAGATTTGGGTGGGGACACAGAGCCAAACCATATCAGTGTCTCTCTTCCTCTCTATTACATAGTTAGGCCTTTGGTTCTTATTAGGCCACGTCCATTGATGAATATCTCTCTGTTTCCTTCTAGATCAAGTCAGAATCTGGTCATGGTGCACAAGTGCTACATCTTTCTGGTGTTCATGGTAGTCATTCTGCCCTCTATGGGACTGACCAGGTACCTCACTTCCAATTATCCCTTCCTTCTTAGCCAGGCTCTCTTAGAGTTAAGACCTCCTCTTTCAGATACTGTAGACCTGCCTGTGATTGCTGCAAACCCACTCCTCAAAGACAGCCCCATGCCTGTCATGGGTGTAGCATGAGCCGGGCTTCCTGCAGACACTAACGTGTCAGCCGTGAGTTCAGCCCACATAGAGCTTATCATCTGGCTGGGGACACAAGGCGTGCTTACCAGTTGCCTGACAGCCCCACATGGGAACAACACAGCCAAAAAGCAGTGGAAATTCAGAAGAGGGAGAGAGTACTGTGAGAGAAATGAGTGAATATTGTGAGAGAAATGTCTGCTTACAGTTTTGCAAACTGGCCCAGGTTTGCTGGAGGAGGTGGCCTTGAGCTGAAAGGCCAAAGGGCTCGGGGCCAGGACAGCCCAGCACTAAGAAGGAAGAGGGGAAGTGTGGACTGGCCAGCTGGAATAAAGCAAGGGTCTTTCTTTGGAGATTGGGCAAGGGAGGATGGTTGAACCCTCAGCCTTAGCTCATAGGTTTGCTAACTAACAGACCTGCCTTGTTTTTGCTTCTAGTTTGGATGTCTTTCTCCGCTGGCTCTTTGACATCTACTATCTAGAGCAAGCATCCATCAGGTTCCAGTGAGTACTCCCATGTGTCCACCAGGGCTGCTGTGTGTGCACACAGGAGTGGTTATATGTGCTCTTCCCTGAGTCCAGCACCTGAATTTGCTCACAGAAGTGTAGACAAATGCTTGTGAACACCCTCACTGGGCAGACTTGTTACCTTTCCTGTGCTGGGATCCCTTTGGCAATCTAGTTAAGCCCAGGGACCCCTTCTCAGAATGATATCTTTGAAATAATTGTATAGTCACAGGAAGTTGCCCCCAAACTGTATGCAGGGTGGGTGTTCCATGAGCCCTTTATCCAGTTTCCCCCAATGGAAGCACTGTGCATAACTATAGTGTAATATCAAAACCAGGAAATTGACACTGGTCCATCCACAGAGCTTATTCTGATTCTGCCAGTTTTACGTGTACTCTGAATGATGTCTTTATGTGCACAAAATACATGGATTACAAAGAAAACCAATTATACAATTATACTGAATTACAGTTATCAAGATATTTTAAAAATCAAATTTTTGACATAGTCTTTATAAACACAAGATATTGCTTTTTTTTTTGAGACCAAGTCTCATTCTGTCGCCCAGGCTGGAGTGCAGTGGCGCAATCTCGGCTCACTACAACCTCTGCCTCCCAAGTTCAAGCGATTCTCCCACCTCAGCCTGCCGAGTAGCTGAGATTACAAGCACATGCCACCATGCCTGGCTAATTTTTGTATTTTTAATAGAGGTGGGGTTTCACCATGTTGGCCAGGCTGGTCTCGAACTCCTGGCCTCAAGTGATCTGCCCACCTCAGCCTCCTAAAATGCTGGGATTACAGGCTTGAGCCACCACACCCAACCAATATTGCATTTTTTATATAAGCAAGCTAAAGTTACATTTTACTGTCTTAAAAACATCAGTATAAAAACTGATATTACTTATTGGAATAAGAATATTAAACTAGGGGGGATCATTGACAAAGCAACATGCAGACCACGTGGGACATTCTGCCAATTTCGATTTTTTTGTTTTAGTGATAACAAGTGTTGAGAATCCCAATTTTCAAAGATATGTTGCAAATGACATGCAAACTTCCATAACTTGCTCTATAAGGCAAGGACCAGAATCCTTCAAGGTATTTTTTAGTAGAGATGGGGTTTCACCATGTTGGCTGGGCTGGTCTCAAACTCCTGACCTCAGGTGATCTGCTCACCTCGGCCTCCCAAAGTGCTGGGACTACAGGTGTGAGCCACCATGCCCTGCCGTATTGCCCACATTCTTAATGCAAGAAAATGCTAAATTTCAGTTAGAGATTAGTGAAAATAAAGATGTTATTTTTTCCCATCCTAGTTTACAGACCCCCCAGAAACCCACTCATGGATTCTCCCGAGTCTTTGGACCTGGCTCAGACACCCTTGCTTTGGATCAAGCCAATGCATGTATCCCCTAACACACCCATGCTTTATGTGGTCCCTGCCCCTCCCTGCTCAGGGGACTGCTTGTTAACTTCATTGGGTTGGGGACATATATATTATAGGAGAGAGACAGAGAAAAAGAAAGAGAGGAAATGTTATTCTCCTTGTCTGTATCTGTATCTCCACTCCGATTCCCATTCCCTCTGCTGCTCTCCTCTCTCTCCTCCCTTTTAACATCTCTCCCTCTCCCTGTGGCTTCTGTTGCCACCTTCCCTCTCCCTCACTGCCCAGGTGTGTGTTCCTGCCAGACAACGGCGCCTTCTTTGTCAACTACGTGATCACGGCAGCTTTACTTGGCACAGGCATGGAGCTGCTGCGTCTGGGGTCACTCTTCTGCTACAGCACCCGCCTCTTCTTCTCTAGATCAGAGCCAGAGAGAGTCAACATCAGAAAGGTACAGACTGGCTCTCCGCTGAGCACAGCCCTCAGTTTCCTTTGGGAGGGTGTCAGGGATAGAGCCTGCTAGAAGCACCAAGGGGGTTGAGGTGGGAGGGACGGTGTGGATGGGTGTTGGTGGGGCACCTTGGTCTACAGGGTTGGAAAGGAGGCTGCCTCCAGGCCTGAGCTGCCAGGAGGCTGATGAGGAGCCACAGAAGTAGTCAAGCCAAGGGGACTGGGCCACCTCAGGGTGACACCTGCCTTCTGCCCCAGAACCAGGCCATAGACTTCCAGTTTGGGCGTGAGTATGCGTGGATGATGAACGTGTTCAGCGTGGTGATGGCGTACAGCATCACTTGCCCCATCATTGTGCCTTTTGGTGAGTCATCTCCAAGGCATGCCCAAGGGCTGCACATCCGCAGATGGGGAGGAGGAATTGAGCCTCACAACATCAGTCCACCTCCTGGAGCATGGGGAGACCTGTGGTAGGGAGGGGTCAGGGCCAGGGCCAAGCTGGGGGTACAGGGCAGCTGAGGTTGGATGGCTGCCGATGGGGGATGTTTGTTGAATGAACGCATGAGAGAATGACTCTTCACCAAGCTGAAACAGTCAGTTCTCGGGGCTCAAGGGAAGCTGCTGGCTCCGGAGGTCAGTACCACGGAGCTCCCCCAACCCATCCTTGGTTGTTGTGACTCTGACAGCCGTGGATCTGGCTTCTCAGGCCTGTGGAGACACTGGAGCCACAAAGGTCCAGACTTGAAGGGGCCACTGAGTAAGTTTCCACCTTTGTCCCCCAGGGTTGCTCTACCTGTGCATGAAGCACTTGACGGATCGCTATAACATGTACTACTCCTTTGCACCCACCAAACTGAACGAGCAGATCCACATGGCTGCCGTCTCCCAGGCCATCTTTGCGCCACTCTTGGGTCTGTTCTGGATGCTGTTCTTCTCCATCCTGCGGTTGGGTAGGTACCAAGCCAGCCTGGAGACCCCACCTCCACCTGCCCCACTGTTCTGTGAGTCCCTTAACACTGACCCTGTTAGAGGAGAAAAGCCCAGGCAGGGCAAGACGCTGCTCACCAGACCTGGCCACACCCAGTGACTTCTCTGGGCCTAAAGGGCCTACATTAGAGTCTCAGCTGAGCTTCAAGGCTAAGAGGAGGCCCTGGACCAACATGGTCCCCAGGTGTGGATTTGGGTTTCCAGCGCTCAGGGAAGGAAACCTCATATTCCTTCTTTCTAAGTCTAGACGGGTGGAAAATAGAGTATCAGCTATTGGGAGGCTCAGTTCCCATGACATTTCCTCTGGGATCCCATAAGATGCCTGGTTTTTTGTTTTGTTTTTTAATTTTATTTTTTGAATCAGAATCTTGCTCTGTCGTCTAGACTGAAGTACAGTGGCGCGATCACGGCTCACTACAGCTTTGACCTCCTGGTCTCAAGCAATTCTGCCACTTCCCCCTCCCCAGTAGCTGGGACTACAGGCGTGAGCTGTCATGACTGGCTAATTGTTTTTAATTTTGTAGAGATGAGGTCTCACTATGTTGCCCAGTCTGGTCTGGAATTTCTGGGCTAAAGCGATCCCCTGGCCTAGGCCTCCCAAAGTGCTGGGATTATAAGCGTAAGCCGCCGGTGCCTAGTGGTAGATGCCTGGCTTTATGGGTTGCCAAAAAACCTGGAAGAGGAAACAGAGCCTGCAGTAGGGGCCAGCTTTTTCCTCACTCTTTAGCTACACACAGCTACTGCTCCTGCCCAGGGGAGCTCAGAGACACCCTCCCAGAAGCAGTCCCTGCAGGCCACAGATTAGAAATCTCTCAGCTTTCTCCCCGTTGGAGGCACCTTAACCCCCAGCAACCCCCAACCCCACTGCCCTTCCCTCAGACACCTGACCTTAACCTTCTCAGTGGTGGGAGAAGGGAGACGCGGTGTTTTCTTTCTTTTTTTTTTTTTTTCTTTTGTTTTTAGAGACGGAGTCTCGCTCTGTCGCCCAGGCTGGAGTGCAGTGGCCTGATCTCGACCCACTGCAACCTCCGCCTCCCGGGTTAAAGCTATTCTCCTGCCTCAGCCCCCTGAGTTGCTGGGACTACAGGCGGGTGCCACCACGCCCCGCTAATTTTTTGTATTTTAGTAGAGACAGGGTTTCACCATGTTGCCCAGGCTGGTCTCGAACTCCTGAGCTCAGGCAATCCGAGGCAGTGTTTTCTTTTCTCTCCCTGCCATGGTGGCATCCATACGGTCGACTCTCAGTCATTTATGTGGCTTACCCATTTGCCATCACCCCCAATTGCTTATCCCGCTAGCCTTTCCCTGCCACCCCAGAGACTTCATTTTTTCCATAATGCTTTTTTTCTAAGAATAAAGGACTGCATGTTTATCATCAAAAATAGAAAAAATATAAAGACCAACATGTAAATGACCCATCATCTTACCCAGAACCTGATGTCTTTTGTTCCCAGCCCCCTTTCCAGGCATGCGCTTTGGGGCTTTGGGCATGGGAACATTGAGAGGGAGCAGTTGGTCTATTGTTACTTTGCAAAACTGCGATAGTCCATATTGTAACATTCAGTCCTGTACCCTGAGGTTTTGTACTGAACACAATGTTCTGAGCAATTTCCTAGGTTGTTAAAAGACTGAACACGTAGGTGCCTTTCAGCGGTTGCATGAAAGTCTACCAGTTTTAGTCAGTTCTCCGTGATTGGATATTGAGGTTTGCCACTTTTTGCTACTATAAAAACACTGCAGTAAGCATCATTAAGCAGTGATTTTTGGCTGTAAAGCATAATTTAAACAACATTTACCTAGTTAGAAAACTGCTGCCGTAAAAAAGGGATCAAATATTCCCAAATGTAATGTAGGTGACTTTTACCTTCTAGATTCCCTCTCTGTGCCATCGGTGCAGATAACTGAGCATGCTCACTTCAAAAGGGCTTGCAGGGAAAGGTGTAGGTCAGAGATGGCGTTGGGGGCACTGGCAGAAATAGTCACTCAAAGATACTTCCCAGGGACGATGGTGTTGGAGGTGACCAGCAGGTCAGGAAGGACACATTTAATGGGCACTGCAGTGGGTACTGAAGTCAATTAAAACATTTTTTCATGGACTCCACAGATGCCAAATTCTAACAGAGCAAAGGGATGATGTTATTTTGTCAGACTCCTAGATGCCAGTTGTTATCAGAGGAGGACTGGCAAGGTCAAAGCCCTTGCAGTGGTGCTGTGACGGTCCCTGGCATCTGCCAGTTGGGGTGGCATCTCGGCTGGCAGACTCCTGCCCATGACTTTTTCTCCTCCTCGGCAGGTTCTCTCCACGCCATCACCATCTTTTCCCTGTCCACCCTCCTCATTGCCATGGTGATTGCCTTTGTTGGCATTTTTCTGGGGAAGCTTCGGATGGTTGCCGACTACGAGGTGAGTTGCCAGCCTGCCCCTCCTCCTGGTTCTCTTGGTCCCTGGGGGACACAGCTGTAGGATACTCTCCAGGTCTGGGCTCCCATAGCACCACAGGATGAAAGGGTCTCGCCTTTGTCTCTGACTGTAGAGCGTGGAGCCCAGTGTGCATGCGTGCATGCATGCGTGCATGCCTTGCGTGCATGCGTGCATGCCTTGCACTAGCTTAGGCTCTGGCCCCCATCCAGAAGACAGCTATCCTCTCCTTTTCTGCCCTCTGACACCTCCTCCAAACTGCAGGCTGCTGCGATGTGAGTCCAGTGCAGCCACTGAACTGTGAGCCTCCAAGGACTGGAGGCCAAGAGAGAGGATGGAGCAAAGGAGGTTGCGGGGGGAGTTGCTGATGATTCAAAAAGAGGGGGGATTGTCATTTTCTCTCCTTTAAGACCCCAGGCTATTGAACTTGAGGTGGCCATGTTTGGAGGTGGCCCCTGCCCCACATGACTCCTTTGGTTGTTGGCAGTGGGCCCAGCCTAATCATTAGGAGAGGGGAGCCAATCCATGCCCTTTTAGAGCCATGCCAACAACTGTGTGTTCTAGCTCAGCATTTCCCAGAATGGATGTCTATCCTGGGGCACTGGAATGATTTCCAGTGGATCACAACATAATTTTTCATTTTTCATGGTTACGTATTTAACATTAACTTTCTGCCTATGGCAACTGAAATACAGTTTTCTGTTTATAATAGTGAATTGTTTCCTTTTTAAATGAATGTATATAAAGAAAAGAAAGCTGATTTTAAGGACTGACACACTACTGAGCCTGAGGAGGGACTCGGAGGAGGATCTCTTTGCTTCTGGTGTCTCTGTCTGTGTCCAGGGCTCTGGGCACAGGTGCCCACTGCCCTCTCCGCCCAGCCTTCCTTCTCCACGCCTGGCTGGAACACCACACTAGTGAAGGGTCTCGTGAAGGACCCCGCTGACTCTGTCTAATACAGCAGCATTATGTGATTGGGTTGGCCAGGTGTCCACTCTAGAGAAGGAGAATGGCCAGGAACCTAGGCTGTGTTGGTGTAGGACACTTTCCAAATTAGAGGGGAAGCCACAGGAGGAAAGACGACAGTGCTGAAGTCAAGGCTTCTCCTGGAGTCAAAGCAGGCTCATCTTTGAACTTCAATTCCAGCTCTGCTTACTTCCCCCAGTGATGGCCCTTGGGAATAGAACATTCCAGAAGGGACTCCCTTGCATCCCAGCCTTCTCTCTGTCCCCCTGGGTCTCAGTCTTGCCAGGCTGAAGGTCTGGAAAGACAGAAGATGAGTTGAGTTCCAAGGTGGTGAGAAGCCCAGGTGTGGAGTTGAGGCTCCTCTGGATGAATGGGGAGGGGCAAAGAGCAGGCCTCCTGTAACCCACCACCTCTCCCTGCTGCAGCCCGAGGAGGAGGAGATCCAGACAGTGTTTGACATGGAGCCAAGCAGCACCTCCTCCACGCCCACCTCCCTCGTGAGTCCTGAGTCCCAGGGACAGGTTGGGAGGGTGGTGCTTGCAGGGATGGTCTACTCTAGTGGCATTGTGGGGGATGCCAGCTTTGCTGCCCACTCTGGGTATGGGGAAGGAGATGGGGGACCCCTGGGCTCCCTCCTCTAATGGAGCAGGACTTGGCCCAGGTCCAAATGCTGCCGTGGTCCTGGATGAAGAGTGAGAAAAAGAGAAGAGCCACCGTGTACTCGGCATTGTCTGGAAGGCACCTAGAGAGGAAGTACTTGGTCAGGGAGGCCGAGACCACAGCGACCTCGGTCATGTAGACGCAGGGGGGCCTGCTGAGGATTGGCCTCGGGACCAAAGGCTGCCCCTGAGGCACAGGTGCAGGCAGAGCGACACAGACAGAGCTTCAGGGAACTATTAGAAGTCTGCACTGATGGTAAGGCAGGGACGCCGAAATGAGCGAGCCTGTCTGCGTGCAGAGAGGCTGGCTCAGAGTGCAGAGTGCAGGGCCTGCAGGCTGGGTGCTGTCTCTCACACAGTGGCTCGGCCTGAAGGGGAATGGGCACAAGCACCCACCCGCATCCCTGCCACAAATGCAGCTTCAGAGCCACCAATGCACACACTGAGGTGGGTACTGGGTCAGCCTGTGCCCCAAGGCCAGGGCTCCTGGGAGGAGCTCTGAAGAAGGGTGCCAGGCTGGCACTCGGTGAAAGCATCCCAGAGGAGGGAGCATTGAATCTGACCCCAGGAATGGGCATACGGGGTGCCAGGTGAAGTAGGGTGTGGGGCAAGAGTTTTCAAGGAAGAGGAGCAGCCTGTGCGAAGGCCTGGAGACAGACCGGAGCTTGGGGGACTCAAGACAGTTTTCGGCACGGTGGAAATGCGGAGTGGGCGGCAGGGCCCTATGGGAGACAAGGCTTTCTTTAGTTGTGGGCAGAGCTGGGAGTGAGTGCACGGTGACAGAAGCACAGACAAAACACCAGCAAGTGGACAGAAGTCACCGGAGTGCCAGGTTTGCCTCACTTTGAAAAACCCTACACACAGGCACAGATTATCTCTGAGAGGGGACAGGAGTAGGTGCTTCCATAATGAAGAGACCACAAGGATTTCAAAGCAAGAAAGTCTCTCTTTTCTTGGGACCCTTCCAAAAGGACCCCTCTTGGAATATTGTTAGCAATAAGTTTTTGAAATCTTCTTATGAGCCTGGCGCTTTGCTGTTTTCGCTCTTAATCTTTTGATAAACCCACACAGTAGGGATTTTCATCCCCAAATGGAGGCTCAGAAGTTCCGTCAATATAGAGTCCAGGGCACCAAGCAAGGGAGTGTCAGGACAAAGGTCGAACCAGGTCCATCTGACTCTAAAGCCTATGCTTTTAAAAAACACGACTAGGATTTATTTTTTAAATCTTGCCTTATTACCACAGGGCTATATGAACATCGCACATCATTATAGGGGGAAAGGATAAGCAGAAATAAGAAAATAAAAAGTCCATATTCCCACCACCCAGAGATGACCACTGATAGTGTATTTTCTTGCAGATATTTATATACTATGTATCTCTTCCAGATAATTATGTATGATTTACATAGTTTTGCTAAAATGAAATAGTACTGCACATACTGTTTTATAACCTTTTTTTGTGGGGTGGGGAAACAGAATCTTGCTCTGTTGTTCAGGCTGGAGTGAAGTGGCACCATCTTGGCTCACTGCAACCTCCATCTCCTGGGTTAAAGCAATTCTCCTGTCTCAGCCTCCCGAGTAGCTGGGATTACAGGCACATGCCATCACACCTGGCTAATTTTTGTATTTTTAGTACAGATGGGGTTTTACCATGTTGGCCAGGCTGGTCTCGAACTTCTGACCTCAGCTGATCCACCCGCCTCGGCCTCCCAAAGTGCTGGGATTACAGGCGTGAGCCACCACGCCAGGCCTATAACCTGCATTTTTAGTTAACAATCTTTTTCCATATATATAAATTTTTTATCTCTTTGAACACCCAGCCGGTATTCAAATTGCCTTAATTGTTCCAGAAGTATCTTTTAGAGCTTGTCCAACCCAATATCAAATCTAGCACATGTGCCTCAGGTTTTCATGTCCCTTTTATTTTAGCACAGTGCCTTTTAAATGACTTGGAGAGACCAAGCCAGCAGTCCTGCAGAATGTTCCACCTGGATTTTTCTGGCTGTTCATGATGTCTTATGACAGGTTCCATGATCTCCTGAATGCTGGAAGTTAGATCTGATGGCTTGATAGATGCAAGTTCAACATGGGGCTAGAACACATTACAGGTAGTGCTGCAATTTACACTCAGAGAGATGTAACATCCTGTTAATTCCCATTCATTAATGATGCCGTCATGACCTTCTAATTAGGGGAATGACAGGTGGATTTTTCCATGGTTCAGTTGACATTTACCCCTTTATGACCAAAAGGTCATCTAGATGGCTTACTTTGGCACCACGCAAATGTCTAGATTCTTTTGTAGGAAAACCGTTCCTTCAACCAGGGCTGTTTGGTTTCACTGAAATAAACTCCTATGGGAAAGGTTTCATTCCATTCCCTAATAACCTATTTTCTAAGTAAGGAGATGGTTTAAGAGCCACTTCAGAGGATGACAATTGCTCTTCTTCCTAGTACATCCTGTGTTTTTCTATCTGCTGCCGTCCCAGGCATGGGGACCATTCCTGGGTGTGACAGGTCATGTGACCAAAGTCTCCGCTAGCAGTTCCACATCTTGAGGACAGGCCAAACCAGTGACAGATCCCGAGGGAGTTCTGAATGTGCTGCTGAAGCTGTATTAGAAGGTGCACTAGCTCAGGAAAGAGGGTCTCTCCAGACCTCAGCTGAGGGGAGCCTCATGTCACCTCCCCTGGATGCAGCTTGACTTGGAACTGAGAGTGAATGGGACATGTTCTAAAGGAGCAGTGGACTAGGAGTGGGGAGTCCTGCCACTGAACCAGCCCTGGGAGCACCTAGATGCTCATCAAATGATCAAGAACAATTAGGTGGGTGGGACAGACAGGACCCAGGCTGCTGGGGAAGAAGGCAGGCTCCAAGGTCTGGAGGAGACAGAGGCGATGGGGGTGGGGCATGAGGGGAGAGGGTGTGCCCAGGGCCTTGCCCCCAACGTGACCTTGCTCCTGTCCCCTGTCTCTATCCCAAGCAGCTGTATGTGGCCACCGTGCTGCAAGAACCGGAGTTGAATCTGACCCCCGCCTCCTCCCCAGCCAGGCACACCTATGGCACCATGAACAACCAGCCGGAAGAGGGAGAAGAAGAGAGTGGTCTGAGGGGCTTTGCGAGGGAGCTAGACTCGGCCCAGTTCCAGGAAGGGCTGGAACTGGAGGGCCAGAACCAGTACCACTGACCGGGACCTGAGGCCTCCACTGGCGACTTGTTGAGGGGTCAGGGGAGGGCCTGGCAAGGGGAGGCAGGAGGGTGGCCTGGACCTCCCCACTACCTCCTGCAGACTTTGAGAAGCCCACAGTGGAGACATCCACCACCCCAGCCATGGGCCATACGGGGGTCCTGACCTGCTGCCCGGCTGGAACTGGGGGTGCTCGGCAGTGCTGAAGGAGCCTGGGAAGGGATGGGAGGATACAGGCAAGCACATGTCTTGAGAGAGGTGGCTGGAGCCCCGGCACAGAGACTGAACGCTGGGGTCCCTTCCTGGGACCAAGATGGAGAAGGTGTTCCTAAGGGAGGAGACAGAAGGAGGCTGCCGAAGGCTCTGTGGGGTCATCACCACTCTGCATCAGCTGCCCTTCCAAGGAGCTTCTGCTGCTGCTCCTCCTCCCAGCCCCGGCCCATTCCTCCCCTGCAGTCTGAGGAGGCAAAGGTATGTGCACGGGGCACATTGACAGGACACGGAGGACCACCTCATCACAGGGTTCCCTGCATGGGGATCTGTAAAGAGAAAGTTTCTGCACCCACCAGAGCAAGAGCCAACTGAAAGCGTAGACCTGAGAAGAGGTAACTCAGCCCCTTCCTGCTCCTCTGCCCTCATCAGATGTCCCCAGGAGCAGCAGGGCAGAGGCCCTTCTTTCTATTCTTACAAGGGTAGCTAGAGCGTGATCACTCAGGGCTCATCAAATGAGACTCGTGTGCATTTTTCAGAAGGAAACCTTGGTTAGTCCTTGCTGGGTAACACAAAGTGGGGTGAGACGACAGAAGCCGAATTCATGGAAGGGGGGTCTTCTCCCCAAAACTCTGTGTGGTGGGAAACCAGCTATACCTCCCCAAGCCCCAGGGCCTAAAGAGAAGACCCCCGAAGCCAAAGATGTGGCCACTTAAAAGCGTCTCCTGCCTCCTACCCAACTGAGTGCCTGGGCCCCCAGCTTGGCCAAGATGGGCAGTACGTTAGGGTAAGAACCCCATGCTTCAAACTTAAGGACTGACCATCACCTGCGTCCCAAGTAGGACCCTTCCTCCCTTCTCGGGGCTGCCCCTGCACCCTGCCTTGAAGACCACCCAAGCGGCCTCCAGTGTGGGCCTGGTCCAGACATTGCAGATGCTTCAACCGTGATGTCGCCCCAGGCCTGCCAGGGGTGTGGTGGAGGGGAAGGCCACGTGCTCCAGGGAGAAGCCCTTTCTGGAGAAGCAAGGCTGTCCTCCCAGGGCTGCCACTACCAGAGACCTGGGGGAGCTGAATTCCGAACAGTGATGGTGACACTCAGCACCTTTGCCACAGCCGGGGGGAACCGGCTTCTGCCTCTGGGATGGGCTCTCATCAGGACCACCGTGCAGCCCAGCCAGGGAGGACATGAGAAGGGCCAGTGGGGGCCTCAATGAACCAGAACAAGCCAAGCTGAATGGGGTCTGTGTGCTCCAGGGCCCTCTTCAGCCCCCTCCCCCAAAGGTCTGGGTCCCTGCCACCAACCTACTGAAGGCCGGCCCCCGGCTCACCTCACCTGAGCACCTGCACCAGGCCCCAGGCACATGGCTGCCCTGAACTCAGATCACCTAGACCTTGTCCCTGCCCCACCTTTGCCCCATCCTAGCCCCAGAAGCTCCAAGCTTCACCGCAGGTGAGAAATTGTGCTCAATGGGCAGAAACTGCTATACCCCCAGGGCATGGCCCACATTTTGGCATGAGGGTGTCTTTCCAGAGAGCTTGGGTTGGCTGGAGAGAGGCTGTCTTTCCCATTCCTTGTCCAGCTAGGAATAAAGGGGAAATGGTCCTAGCCTGGCCCCTACACACCCAGGTCCCACAGGCCCCCTCCCCACTGGAATTTCACCAACCAACAAGGGGAAAGTACGCTGTTACAGCATAGCGGTCAGGCCCAGCAGGAGCTTGGCACATGATGGGGAGGTGGCCAGCTCCAGGCCCTGCCCGACCCCATCATGTGTATTTGGTGTATGGGGTGTGGGGGGTCACACCAGAAGCTGGCCTGGGGTCTCTTCTTTGCTGGACACAGCTCCCTGGCCCCTGCCCCCAGCCCCTGCAGCCCCTGCCGGACTGTGGAAGCCACATATGGGAAAAGTCCTGGCAGACAATGTGGCGGGATGACTGGGGGCTTCTCCCTCTGAACCTGGGTCCAGTGTAGCCTGGCTCTGAGAGAAGGTGGTGAGCATGTGGAGAAGGTTCCATAGTCCACTCTTAGGGGAACCAGCAAAGCCTCATGGCAGTTGGCTCCATCTGGACCTCCCATGGTCACTACAGGATGGTGGAGCAGGGGGCATCTTTTAGCCTCCCCCCGCCACCACATCCAGGCCCTCTCAGGCACCTCCTGCCTCAGCCCACACCTGCCTCACCCATTGCCCCCCTCCCCCCACCTACTGCCATCCCACTCCTCTGCCAGCCACTTCCCAGCCGCCCCACCCCACTCCATCCACCAAATCACCTCCTGACTTAATCCTTTCTGGAAGGAGCTGCCGCCCAGGAACCGGTATTGCCTAGAGCCTCCAGGAGGGGCCCTCCTCAGGCCTCCAGTGGCCCCATGCCCACCTGCCTGACCCTCCACTGCCCCTGGAAGCAAAGTGCCTATCAGCAGCGTTGCGTCCTCTGGGGCCCCCGGTCGGGGGGGAGGGGGTGTGGGCTAACCTTGGCCACCACCACAAAAGGAATGTGCCAGAATGCTGAACCTTCTTGTTAATGCTATGACCGTGCCTTGAATAAACAAGTCCTCCCAACCTCTCCTGGCCCCTGCCTCTCTGCCTGTGCATCTGGGCCAGCCTGGCCTTGCTCCGCTGTGCAGTGGAGAGAACTTTCTGGTCCTTGAGCTACCCAGGAAGCCAGCAGGGCAGCCCCGAGGAGCAGCAGAAGTCTCTGGTGAGTGCTGAGCCCCATGAGCAGGCCACTGGGCTAGGCTAGTGGCCAGACTTCAAAACACACAGATTTCAGGTGAGGCCCCAGGAAGAGCGGCAGACAGGGCTCAGGTCTGCAAGAGGATGAGGGTGGGGGACTTGGGGGATGGGGGAGGTGGAGGAGAGGTTGGGTGGAGGAGAGGTTGGCACGAGGGAAGTGTGTGGGGCAGCCAGGTGGGATAAGAAACACCCGTTAGCAAAGGCTGTTATAACTGTGGCAAGGAGACAACAGTTCCCTGCCCTGGCGGACACATCTCAGGGTCAGGAGACTGGTTCTGTCCCTTCCTCCAGCAGCTGCATGACCCAGGCTGGTCACCTCATCCAGACAGTAGGGCTGGGAGGACATGAAGCGGACTGTTCTGCTTCGTGACTGAGCAGAGCAGATTTGAGGGCAGAAGATGGGAATCTTGTGGGTGTGTTGAGTAGGGGGAGACTTCCTCCCGCAGTGCTCCCTATGGGGACAGAGGATGACAGTCTCAGGGTGGCTGCCTAAGGACTCTTTCCTGCATCATCCTCGCTGGGTCCTCTCCGCAAACTTCTACGGTCCATCAGTGGCCACTGACTCAAAGTCTACCAAGGTGTGGGCCTGGGCGTGGGATCAAGACCCGTCCACTTGTCCCCTCTCCCCCTCAAAACAATTATTTTCCAAGTCAAGTCAGCCCTTAAAATCCACAAGGGCTGCTTCGCAGGAGAGAAGCCATGAAGACTCCCTGACTGGACGGGACGGGGCTGCGCCCTGCTGCTGCCTCTCATGGTCCCCTCCCAGGGGCCGGCAGCTCCAGGGTCCCCAGATGGCAGGCCTGGGACACTCTGTGGTTCAGCAGACCTTTCGAGGGCCTTTTATCAGGCAGAGACTGAGAAAGAGACAGAAAAACAAGCCGAAGAGGGAGGGCGGTCTCCCCAAGGATGGAATGTCCTCCAGGGAGGTTAGTGTTGGTCAATCCTCTCTCCACTCAGCAGGCCAGGATGGACCGGAGGCCTGAAGGTGGATTTACCTGGGCTGGGGACGGGACTGGGGCAGGGCAAGAGGGAGCCCCAGGAGGCTGGCTCCACTGGGCTGTGCCCAAGAAAGGATTGGAGCACGTGACCGAGTGCTGCGCAGGGAGGAAGCAGCGGGGCCTGAGAGTGCCCCATGCCTCTGCCCAGAAACCAAGCCTGGGGCTGCACGGGGCCCCGCCAGGGAAGCCTGAGGCAGCTCACTTCTGTCCTGAGGAACCTCCTTGCTGGCCAGATTCCAGGTTTCTAGGTCTGCTCTGTGGAAGGCCTTGCAGAGGCGAGGAGAGCCTGGTCTATGGGGAGACAGGTTCCCAGGCTTTCTGAACAGAGGCTGCTTTCAGAACATCTGACAGTCCCTCGGCCTGGACAAGTGGCAGCCCGGCAGCTCTCAGCCTCAATTCCCAAGGTTCTCCAGCCCAGCTGCAAAGGAGAGTCACTCTCAATGTCCAGGCCCCATCCCTGAAAAACCAAAATTTCTCAGGTGGGGCCCAGTACCCTGTATTTTACAAAAGTCCCCCAGGTGATTCCAGTGTGCAGGGAGGGGTGAGTGGATAAGGAAAACAGTCCCAACCTCAGGCACTGCATGCCCTGGGTGGCCTCAGCATCTCACCATCGCCAGCTTAGAAATGACAACTCCCTAGCTCAGGCACGCTTCTGCCATCTTTATCTTCTTTTGCAATAAGTATGAGTACCATGTGGGCCCGAGGGCCACACACCAGGTGTCAGGGGCACTTCTGGCTACCTTGTCATCTTCAGCAAGGGTTCAAAGACTGTCCCTCTTCCCTCCCCTCCAAACACAGAGCCCAGTGGCTTCCATGACCGCCTGCCCATTTCCGTGCAACAGAACGTGACAAGTGCAGTAAACAAATAGGCCTACATAATGGGGTGTCAGGGAGAGACAAAGCCGGATAGGGGCAAGGGGTGCCTGTAGGTGGGGAGAGGATGCTTTGCACTAGAGAGGCCAGCACAAGCTCTGTGGAGGTGAGACATGAGAGCCAGCAAAGGGTCTGTGGGCACACATGCGGAGCCCAAAGAACCAGGCAGAGTGAGCGAGGGGAGGAGAGGGTGGGGCGAGGTCTGAGTGGGCAACAGGCTGTGCAGGCCACGCTGGGACTCCAAGTTTCACTCATCATCTGAGAAACTATGGGAGGATTCTGGGTAGGAGTATGATCCCCTTATGTGTTTGTTTTCCAGGTTTTTTTGTTGTGGTGGTGGTGGTAAAGTACACATAATCATATTCACCATCTTAACCATTTATGGGTTTTTTGTTTGTTTGTTTTGTTGTTGTTGTTGAGACAGAGTCTTGCTCTGTCACCCAGGCTGGAGTGCAATGGCGTGATCTGGGTGCAGTGCAACCTCCGCCTCCCAGGTTCAAGCAATTCTCCTTCTTCAGCCTCCCAAGTAGCTGGGATTACAGGCATATGCCATCATCATTTTTGTATTTTTTAGTAGAGATGGGGTTTCACCATATTGGCCAGGCTGGTCTCGAACTCCTGACCTCAAGCAATCCGCCCACCTTGGCCTCCCAAAGTGCTAGGATTATAGGCGTGAGCCACCGCGCCCGGCCACCATCTTAACCATTTGTAACTGTCCTGTTCAGTGGCATGAAATACATTCGTAATGTGCAACCATTACCACCAGCCATCCTCCACAACTCTTTATCTTGCAAAACTGAGACTGTATACCCATAATCAATAATTCCTCATTCCCTCCTCCCCTTAGCCCCTGGCCACCACCCATGTAACTCTTATGTGCTGAAATGGTCACTGTCACCAGGGTAGGACAAGTAGAAGCAGAAAGCCCAGCTGGGGCCAGGTGTGGTGGTGCACACCTGTAATCCCAGCATTTTGGGAGGCTGAGGTGAGAGGATTACTTGGGGCCAGGGGCTTGAGACCAGCCTGGGCAACAAAGCAAGACCCTATCTCCACAAAAATTTTAAAAATTAGCTGGGCATGGTGGCATGCACCTGGAGTCCCAACTACTCGGGAGACTGAGGCAGGAGGATTCCTTGAACCCAGGATTTCAAGGCTGCAGTGAGCAATGATCATGCCACCACACTTCAGCCTGGGCAACAGAGTGAGATCCTGTCTAAAAAAAAAAAAAAAAAAAGCCCAGTTGGGACTGTGTCAGAGGCATTCAGGAGAGAGAATATGGTAGCTTGCACCAGGATAGGGAGTGAATAAAGAAGCAGTTAAACTTGGAACAGAGGTTGAGGATTCATGGATGATTAGATGTGGGGTCTGAGGGAAAGCAGGAACGCAAGGATGACTCCCAGATCTTCAGCATGAACAACTCAGCACACTCTGGTTTGAGGTGGAGAAAGCTGGGAAGAAAAAGGCCAAGGGAAACCCCAAGAGTTCCATCTTGAGTGTGTTCTGGTTAAGATGCTATGTGGGGATGTCAAGAAGGTGGCTAGATACAGGAGTCGGGCTGGAGATGTCATCAGCACCTGGGTGGTGATTAAAGCATGGGACTGGCTGAGACTTTGATGGGAGCAGGTGCAGGTGAGGAGGTCTGAGGGCTGAGCCAGCACAAAGAGATGGGAGGAGAACCGGCAAGGAAAACCAGGAGGGACTCAAAAAGGAAGGAGGGTGTCCCCAGCTCTAACCACGCTTGGCAGTAAATGCGGTGCATAGAGGAATAAGTCAAAAGATGCCACGAAGCAGCTTCAGCCAAGTGGAGAATGCTGAACAGGCCATTAGACAAATGACCCACTTCTCCCACACAGCAATGGTGAGGGGAAATGGCAAGAGGGGCCAGGCCAAAGTGAAAGAGTGAAGAGACACAATCAAATGCGAAGTGTGCATCCTGAGTTGAACAAACCAACTGCAGAGAGACGTCTGGGAAATCTACACGTGGATGAATGTGGGCCATCAGGGAATTTGAATTAGGTGATGATGAGAAGATACCGTTCATCTTGTTAGATGTATTGATGGCGTGGCTTCATATGTGAAATAAAGTGCCAGCTAGAAATTCATATGGAAGAATTTACAGGTAAAAGAACATGAAGTCTTGGATTTGCTTTAAAACTCTCCAGCAAAAACAAAGAAACAAAAACAAAAATGGGAGGGGGGTGTGGTTGGGGGAAGAGGTGCATGGAGATTCCCTCATCTCTTGATTCTTGTGTATGTTAACATTTTTCCATAATAAAAAGTGTAAAAATAAAGGCATGACCAACTTTTTCGAGTGCTGCTGAGCAGGAGAGGAAGATAAGGACTAAGATGTGACTCTACATCTGGCAAGATGAGGGTGGTTGGTGACCTTGACTGTAGTAGATTGAAAGTGGGGGCAAAGCCTGGTTGAAGCAGGTTCCCATCCTCCCATAAGAAGTGAGGAGATGAAAACAGCAAGGAAAGACTGCTCTTTCGAAGGGTTTTGCTATCAAAGGAAGAAAAGAACCAAAGGGGTAGCTGGAGAGGAAAGGAAGTGAGGGGTTGTTCTTTGTATAGGAGGGGAGATGTGGGCTGATAGAGGAGGGATGCAGGAGAGAGGGCTGAGCCCTTGAGCAGAGGAGGAGGTAAGGGATACTCTCCCCTGATACAGACGTGCGTGCATACACGCACACGTGCACACACACATGCATACACACGCGTGCACACACACCAGTGCATGCCCATGCACACACGCACTCACACCTAAGTAGAAGAGTGGCTTTCAAAAAAGGTGAAAGCATCCATGCTTAGGATGACTCAGACACAGGTCAGAGGAGGGCATTAGACCTTTCCAAAGCCAGGCCACCTAGAGAGCTGTGGGCCAGACATGGACACCTGAGCCTGACCCATTAATAGGTCACACAGCAGATGAGGCCCTCACTCACTGCAGCCTGTAGGGCTCCAGAAAATGCTCTGGGCACCACAGCGGCCAAGGCGTTCCTAACATGCTGCAGACCCAGTGCCTGCAGTCACATAGCCTGGCAGGCCTGGCATCTGAGCTTAAAGAAAATGAGGCCCCATCTGGGAGCTGGCAAGGCCCCGTGGGCATCTGCTACATTCAGTCTTGGCTGAGAAACTGGAAGCCCAGGGCGAGGACAGCCAGCCCAGGCACAGGCCTTGCAGCCATGCGTGGGCTTCGGGCCCGCCGCCGAGGCTGGAACACATGGAGGTAACCCCAAACCTGCTCCAATCATGCCTACTCAACACAGCTTCTCTTCCCCACGTCCCTGGCTGGCTTTCTAGCCCACAGCCTGTGGGGTCCCAAGCCCCCGACCAATGACCTGCTTCAGACCATGGATCAGTGCGGGTATGGGTTTAACTAACCCCAAAATGTGTAATGGCATAAACACAAGAGAAGTTTGTCTCTTTCATATAAAATTCAAAATGGGTGATTCTGATTAATAGGCACCTTCCTCCAAGCAGCGATTCAGGGTCAGGACTCCTTTCACCTGTGGCTCTGCCATGTTCAACACGTGGCCCTCATGGTCTCTGTGAGGTCTGTATCACACCAGCAGAAGGATGACAGAGCATGGAGGAGCATGCAGGAGTTTTGGGGGACCAGGCCTCGGAGTGGCACACACATCTGCACGGTCCAGCGGCCAGAGCCCAGTCACATGCCCCACCTAATTGCAAGGGTGGCTGCATGACATCCAGCTGTGTGCCCAGGAGGAAGAAGAGCTGGTTTGTGGTCTGCCAGCCAGTTTGGGCCACAGACCCCACAGATGTCTGCCACTGGCTTCCCAGAGCTTCCTCCCAGGCCCCTCCCTCCTGTTCCACCCACTCCAGCCTTGGCCTCCCTGACTCCATCCTCCCATCCTGTCCTGAGATCCACTGCCCTGCAGCTTCATCTGGCACAGGCCAAGACCCAAGAAAAGATCAGGCCCGAGGGTCAGAGAGGCACACAGAACCAGTTTATTTCTCATGAATTTATAGGACCACAGTCAGCACAGAGCAAATGGTACAAGTGCAGATGGCTGGGGTGAGGGCGGGGGCCTCTGCTGCTGCCTTCTCTTCTCTCCAGCTGCCTGAGTACTGGCACACAGCGGGCAGTGAATCTGAGGAGCTGTGGCCTCACAGTCGCTGCAGGCTGAGCCAGAAAGGAGGGCCAGGGGAGGTAAGACTCACTCCTGCAGGAGCGGGTTGGTGATGAAGGGCTGGGGGAACTCGGGTCTCTCTGGGATGAAGTCACCCCTCCTTCCTGGCCGGTCCCCAGCCCCTCCCCACCTGGCCAGCTAGCTGGGTTCCTGCAGCAGCGGAATAGTCAGGGAGTTCCCAGCAGAAGTGCTGAATGAGGGAAAGGGAATGCCGCCAAAGGAAACCGACTCTGTCAGGGCATCTGCACAGCCCGCGAGACTCAAATGAGACCCATTGAGACCCAGGTCCCCCTTCCCTTCCCTGGCAGTTCTGATTCTGCTCCCACTGCCTGGGATTCCACCAAGAAGGCTAAAGCTGCTCTTTCTCTTTATTTGTGAAAAGCAAGCCATCTTGGGGCAGGAAAGCAGTGAAGGGACTGGGCAGGCAGGACAGAAGGCGCTGGAAGCTCAGCCATCTCACCCCCGCCTTGGCCTGCACTCACCTGAAGAAGCAGGACAGACAGAAGAGCCCCATCCTCTCCCACCTCCATACCTTTCCAGCTCATCCCACCTCTGCCACCAAAACACTCATCGCGGGGTCAGAGGGAGTGCCAAAAAAGGTAAAAAGAAACGCAAGAAAGAGGCTACTGGGGATGAGGGGACACCCAGAAGCCCCTTCCTGGAGGAAAAGCCACTCCTTCTGCAGCTGGACTCTAGGATACTGAGACCCAGCCCTGCCCCATCACCTCTCCAGTGTGGCCAAGGGGACAAGGACCAAGATGCAGGGAAGCTTGGGGAGCCTGGGCTACAACAGATACAGGCCAACAGACAGACACAGATGGATGGGGGCTGCCGGGCGGGGTCGCCTCTTACTCGCCATCCCAGCCTCGACTCATGGCCTGCACTACGGCCCCGTAGAGTTGGCTCCAGGCAGCCCGTGTGGCTGGTGTGAAGGCAGGGCCCAGACACTTCTCCAGCATGTAGAGCAGAGACTCACCCACTGTCTGCAGAGGCAAGGGGCACCTTGTCACTTCCAAAGGCAGAAAGGCACTGCTCCATTCCACAGGTGAGAAAACTGAGGCCTAGGACTGATTAGGGCTCCTGGGCCTTTTTTCCTCTCCTGCATTGAGTCCATGCTTCCTGAGCAGGGTCCTACCCAAATCCTTGGGTATCACATTGTGTCTACCTTTCCCTCTAAATGTGAGGCTTTATATCCTCACATTTTTCACCCCTGTCTTGGTCTTGCAACCACCCCATGAGTGGGGCCAAGACATTGCCTGGGACCTCCCAGCTTAGACCAAACCAAGTCATTGCTCCCAGACTTGAGTTTCCTCATCTGCAAGGCAGCAATGATGGGGTTAAGAGCCTGGGCTCTGGAGCCAGATAGACCTGAGTACAGATTCTGACTCCACCCTTCATCAGCTGGGTGACCTTGGGTAAGTTATGTAACCTCTCTGAGCCTCAGCTGCTTCATCAGTGATACAGGGAAAGTAGAAGCTCCAACTCCTGGGCCTGTTGGGATGATTAAATGGGATAATCCAGAAAAAGCTCTTAGCACAGCATCTGTATACAGGAAACCTACAATGATAATAGGCCAGGTGCAGTAGCTCACGCCTATAATCCCAGCACTTTAGGAGGCTGAGGTGGGCAGACCACTTGAGCCCAGGAGTTTGAGACCAGCCTGGTAAACATGGGAAAACTCCATCTCTACCAAAAATACAAAAATTAGCTGGGCATGGTGGTGCATGCCTGTAGTCCCAGCTATGAGGGAGGCTGAGGTGGGAGGATCACTTGAGCCTGGGAGGTTGAGGCTGCAGTGAGCTGTGATCACATCACTGTACTCCAGCCTAGGCGACAGAGCAAGATTCTGTCCCCAGAATAAATAAGTAAGTAAATAAATAAATAAAGATAATGGCTCTCATTTGCCATTATTACTCATAATAAAATAAGGTTTATTTATCTCACAAATATTAACTGAATATCCACTGTAGCCCTGGTAGATCAGGCACTATGCTGGTGCTGGGGATGGAGAGGAGGACAAGACCAACACAGCTCCTTCCTCAAGGTGCTCACCATCTGGCAAGGTGACTGGACTGTGTGGTGTACTGTCATATCAGTCGCCCCCAGTGGGCTACACCTCAAGGATTCATGCCCTTGAGTAGGGTCCTCCCACATTGACACTGGGCTTATCCATGTGAGTGGCTTTGGCCAATGGGACATTAGCAAAAGTGATGCAAGCAGAGGCTTTATAGGCACTTTCACACTGGGGCTTGTCCTCTAAAAACTCCCCCTTGGAACTCAGCTGCTATTCTATAAAGAAGCTCAGCTAGACTAGTGAATGACAACAAATCACAGGGACAGAGCTCAAAGGCTGACAGGCCTTGGACATTCTAGCCTCAGTTGAGCTCCCAGCTAAACATAACACACAAGTAACTCCAGCTACACCATGTGGAGCAGAAGAGCTGCCCAGCTGAGCCCAGCCATGAGAAATCGGAAAGCATTGTCATAGTTCTAGGGTTGTTTGATACATAGCAATAGAAAATTGAGCAGACCAGCTGATCCCAAAAGCTTGTTAATTTTTATGGTTTTAAAAGAAGCCATATCAGAAAAGAGAACTTGGAAGCTCAGAGAGGTCAAGCCCATGTCAGGGCCACACAGCAGGTAACAGATGCAGGCCCGCAGCCCTGGTTATCTAAGGATATGGGAATGGGAGAGAGAACAGGTGGCAAGGGGAGGTCTGGGAGAGAGAAGTGGCCCCAGGCCAGGAGCTCTGGAGAGAGTCAGAGCTCCTTTACCCACCGAGAAGGAGCTGAGCTTCACACCCACTGCCCGGTGCTTCCTGCCCAGGCTGGCAAGGTACTCCTCCAGTGAGGACAGGTCTTCCACATTGGTCACTGCAGCATCAATCACGAGCATCACCTGCCAAGGCCAAGGCAGCAGTGAAACAGAGAGGCCAGAGCAGCCCCATCTGCTCACAATCACAGCCCAAGGCATGAGGGTCCCAAAGCAAGAGAGGCCAGTAGGACCCTCAGTTCTCCAAGATCAGGGGTCAAAGGCAGCCTGTGTCTACTACATGTAGGGGGCACCCGATACGTGGTGGCCAAACTACTAATGTTATACCCATGAAGGAAGCCTCTCTCCTCTGAGAAATTCACATCTCTAAACACACCTACTGGAGAGTGTTGTCTGCTGGGACAAGGAGAAACTGAGGCCCTTTGAGAATCATGAGATTCTAAGAAAATCTCAGCCTGATTTTCATAGGCAGATAGTTCCCAATTACCAGGATCTGTGCTAACACAACCTATGGGAGCCAGAGGACAAAGGCAATGACACAGGCTGGGACCAGCTCTCTGAACGCAGGGTAGGGGAAGAGGCTGATTCTGATGTCCCAGACCAATCCAGCCCAGAGGGAAAGGAGCTGTACCCTGCTTGGGGGAACTGGAAGGGAGTAAGACTAGACCTGGGGCAGAAAGTCATTTTCTCCATTCTCCACCAGGGAGGTGCTCTGCTGGATCCCAGAGGTCACAGCAGCTCTGCCTCCCTCTCACCTTCCTGATGTGGTCCAGGAACTCAGGCGAGGAGAGACAGTCCTCTGGGCTGGAGAACTGGCGGCAGTTGTACTGGAAGAGGGGCAGCAGGTCAGGCTCCAGGGCAAACAGCCTGTGGGAGTGAGGCCCAGGTGTTAGCCCTGGGGTGTGAGCTCCTGCAAGCCCCAGCAAGCCTGGCTGTCCTGCAGTCAGCGGGCGGGGGTGCCAAGCCAGGTCTCAGCTGCAAACCACAGCTGACTCTCCCACCTGGCACTGCTCCCCCGCCAGCTTCGGTAGTGCCCTCCTCCTCATGCCTTCTACTGGCTCTGGGCAGCATCCTAGAAAGGGCAAATGTGTCCCAGGGCCTCTGGTAAGCAGGGGTCCCTCGGTGAATAGCTGAGGGGTGTGATTTGGGACAGGAAGAGGTCCCCAAACAGGAAACCTGGAGTTACGTTGTGTGGAGAGGAAAGCCCTTTCTCTCTCTCTCTCTCTCTCTCTCTCTCTCTCTCTCTCTCTCTCTCTCTCTCTCTCTCTTCTCTCTCTCTCTCTCTCTCTCTCTCTCTCTCTCTCTCTCTCTCTCTCTCTCTCTCCCTCTCCCTCTCCCCCCCCCCCCCCCCCCCCCCCCCCCCCTGCGCTGAGTACTTTCCGTGTGGTTAACTTTTAACTGTATTCCTCACTGTCCTAAGCAGTGGGTACAACTGTTATCCCAGTTTTATAGAGGAGAAAACAGAAGCCCGGGGAGGCTAGAACTCGCCTAAGGTCACACAGCTTGGATGTAGTGCAGCCACAGCGGGTGCCTGAGAAAAAAGTGAGCTGGGGGGAGTCCGGAGGCAGAAGCAGAGGCCCTCCTCGGCATTTGGGAGGTCTCACCGGGTAACTGAATGTTTTCCCCTTTTGTCTTGGGGGTGGTTTTGCGGAAGCCTGGGTAGAAGTTCTGGACTGTCCAAGGGTGCCAAGGATAGGTAACACCACGGTGAGGGAAGCAGTGCCCGGTTGGTGATAGCGGAAGGGTTACCAAAACTGCGAGCTGAGGTTGGAGACTGGCCTTCCCTTCCCACCCGGCCTGCACACCCCCCACCCCTCTCCCCTGCGGTGAGGCTCCCGCATCTGTCACCCCTTCCCCGGCTGCTCTCTGGCTCTTTCCTCGGAAAGGTTTGTCTTGTTGGTTGTCAGGGATCCACACACCTGGAGCCAGACCGCTCACACGCGGGCGCAGGAGCTCGCCCCACACATCTCCCTTCCCCGGCTCTCGGGGCACCCCAGTACCCTGATACCGGCAGCGGGGTGCACCCCTGCAGTCGCTACCTAAGGAAGACGCAGGAGGCACAAGGCGGGGTGGAGGCGCCGCGCAGGGACGGAGGTCCACCCGCCCAGATGTGGGGAGATCCGCGGGAGGGGATCCCGCCCGGCCCGGTGAGCCCCGCTGGGAGAGTGGTGTGCGGCGCTGGTTGGCAACAGGCGCCCACGGTCGAGAGAGAGGCAGAGGGGCTGTGCCACCCGTCGCCGCGCCCCGCTCCTCTGGCGCACATCTGGCAGGCGCCCCAGCGCCCCGGCAGCGGCCAGTTTTCCCTCCTTCGGGGCCGGTCCTGCCGCGTGACCCCTTTCCCGCCGAGGCAGCCTCCACCCGCATCCCCGGGCGCTCGTGTAGCCCTCACCTGGCAAACAGGACGGTGCCGTGCTCCAGCGGGCTGCGGCTCACTGCCCGCCAGCTCTGCCGGATCAGCTCGGGCTCCGGGCGCTCCATGCTGTCCCGGGGACGCGGAGCGCGGGGCTGGGACCCTCAGGGCTCGGGTGCCGTCACCGCACGTGCCGCGCCATCTCCTCCGCGACGCGGTCCCCTCCGCCCCTCGTACGCCCCCCGTGCCTCCGCCCGGCGGGGGCCGCAGCCGCTCCTTCCCTGGCGCGGGAGAGAAAAGGCGCGCGGCCAGTCGTAGGTGGAGACACCCCAGCTGTGCTTCCGGGGACCCCGCTTGGCCGCTGCGCCCTGCGCCCCGCAGCCGCCAGAGCCGCCCCACCCCGCGACGCCTGGGCTGGGCGCTTTAAAGCCGCCACGGCCCCCGCCCCCTCCAGGCCAGCAAGGCGCGCGCTCCCTCCGCCAGCCGCTATGGTGGCCTGGGAAAGGCCCGGCCTGCAGAACGTAACTGACATCGCGGAGGCTCTCTGGGCCTCAGTTTCTCCTCCCGAGCCCCGAGGGCACTGTGTTGAATTTGGTCGCCTCAGGTAGGCGCTGCATGCGCCCCCTCTCCACAGGCCCCTCAACTCACGCATTGCCAGAGGCATTTGAGTTTGCCACCCACCTGGCCTGCAGGTCAGGCCTGGGGAGGCGGCCTAGGGGCCTAGTTCTCGGTCTGACTAGGGCACCAGCACACGTTGGGGGCCACCAGGGCTTTCAGCCGTAGGGACAGGGCCAAGACCACAGCCATTCCCAGCCAGGCCTGGGTTTTTTTGAGACTCCATCTTTAGAAAGCCGTGAGATCCAGTTCTAATCCCAGCTCTGCTTGGCCAGGGTGGAATCTTGAGGGAGTTCAGCTCTAACATTCTACCGTTCCATGATTTAATTTTAATTTTAATTTTAATTTTTCACCTCTTCCCTCCCTGGGCCTTCCCCACTTCCATGATTTTTCATCTTTTTGTTTGTTTGTTTGAGACGGAGTCTCACTCTGTCGCCCAGGCTGGAGTGCAATAGCGTGATCTCGGCTCACTGCAAGCTCCGCCTCCCGGGTTCACGCCATTCTCCTGCCTCAGCCTCCCGAGTAGCTGGGACTACAGGCGCCCGCCACCACGCCAGGCTGATTTTTTGTATTTTGAGTAGAGACGGGGTTTCACCGTGTTAGACAGGATGGTCTCGATCTCCTGACCTCATGATCCGCCCACCTCGGCCTCCCAAAGTGCTGGGGATTACAGGCGTGAACCACTGCGCCCGGCCTTTTTTTTTTTTTTTTAACGGAAGTACTGTTTAATTTTTTCAATAGAAGTTCAGATAATAGAATCCATGCTCCCCACTCAGGGTGTGCAATTGGCCACCTGCCAATTACAACTAAACTTTTCTCTTTCAAGCAGAAAGTTCCTCAAGCCCCAGCCCAGTGCTGGTGGCCCAGGTTTGGGAGAGCAAGCCCGTTTTCACCTTTATTTCTCTCTCATTATTCCCTCAGGGGTCTCCGAGCCTATCTCCTCTGTCTGTCCACGCCTCTCTGGCCCTGTTTCCTCAGTTGTGCAGCAAAGGGGTTGGGTGGTGAGGTCTCTGGGACCTTTTAGTCCACCTCCTTTAGTTCCATGGGTAGAAGGTGGGTGTTCTTGAGCCCCTGGTTATGAACAGCTGGGGCTCCATGCCCAGCCCTGTGCTAGACATGGAGTGGCGAGTCCTGGTCTTTAAAATTTCTCCTTCTGGCCCTGAATCAGAACTGAGTGCCTCAGCAGAACTTTTCTTTCCTACTCCTAGCCATGCCCCAGGAAATCATCTAGCTGTTCTCCCTCTTCCAAGGACTCAGGAGTTTGTGGTAACCCCTATTCTATTTCCCATTTCCTCACAAATCTCTGGGCTGGAGCAGGAGAGCAAGGCTATAAGGCAGCCTGGAAAAGCTGGTGTCCTAGGGTCCAAGAGGTCTCCAAGCAAGAACACAAAGTGATTGGGGCTGAAGGAACAAGACGTGACTAAACTTCCAGCTTGGGGTCCCGTGGACCTGCAGCCAGGTGCAGCAGGTCACAGGGCAAGGACACGTGTCATTGGTGACCTTCACTATTCAGTGCCCAGATGCTCAGTGCTCTGTGCAGGCCACCTGGCTGGTCTCAGGTACCCCACTCTACCCAGCTCACGCTTCTTGCCAGCAATCTATACTTAGGACCCATCTTGCTTCCTCTCTCCTCTGGCCAGGGTCTGGAGTCTGATGAGGTAGTGGGAGTTAACGGCCCTAGCTAGTAAGTAGAGTCAGTACTCAAACCATGGCTTCACTCTTTGTCTTCCTAGAGCCAGGAGATATGTGCTAAGATAAGCCAAGGTAAGTGCACTCTATCCCTGCTCCCTTCAAGAAAGGCCTGAGAATCTGGATGGGCCTAAGCGATGAGAGTGATGTATTCCCATCAGTAGACCAAGGGTCCAAGCCCACATTTGAGGGGCTCAGTAAAAGTCACAGGAGTCTCCTCCCTGTGGGTCATCCGCCCAGGAGGTAAGAACCTAGAGGAGAATTCAAGTACTGTCCCAGAGCCAGTGCTGGTCATTGAGGTTCATGTATCATTAATAATACAGAGCTGGCATTTATGTCTAGACAGTGTTCCGGGCACCTTACTTCATTTCCTCTTTTCATCCTCACAATAACTACGAAGTAGGTGCTATTTATCATACCCTCGTTTTACAGCTGAGGAAATGGAGGCAAAGAGGTTAAGTAACTAGCCCAAGCTCACATAGGTAATAAGCGGTGGGGCCAGGATTTGACCTCAGGTCTCTCTGGCCCATCCTGTAGGCCTCCATGCCTCCCTTGCTTTAATGGGCTGTGGCCAAGAGCCCCAGCCATAATTCAGACCAAGCCATGGTCACTGGGTCTGGTTCAGCGGTGTGCTGGAGCCAGCTTTCATATGGCTTTCAAGAACCAACTGTATGCATCTCTTTCCAACTTCTCATTCAGTGACATCAAGTTGGTAGCTTAAAAAAGAACATGTTGGGAATATTTACACCATGGAAATTGGCAAATGCTATACACACCAGTTTTTCCTCCCAGAACACCTGTTGTTAAACATCTACCAGCACACACTGATCTGGGTGCACCTGGGGGAGCCAGGAAAACCTGGGCCCTAGATGAGCGGCTGCTGATGCATTAAGCAGAAGGCCCACGGGAAGGTGCTGCGTCAGGGACCTCGGGCTGAGTGCTCAGGCCTTCTCCCCAGGGTATCTAGGGCTGCAGCTGTTCTGGGAAGGTGCCTCTAGTCCCAGGACAAGACTAGAGAGGCAGAAAAACCCAAACTTGGCACTGAGTCCTGGCTCTACTATTTACTTGTTGTGGGACCTTAAGACAAGTCATTTAATCTCTCATGGGTAGAATGGGAACAAAAACATCATTGACTTCACTGGGCCTTTATGAGGATTAAATGTCAGAGATGTGTTGAGACTTTGTAAACTAAGCTGTGCCACTCAAGGAAGAGTGACTTGGCCCCTTCCTAAACTGCCTGTCGTAGGCATGTTCCACCTCCTGAAGATCCACATGCCCCTCTCTCCCCACCAGCCCCTACCAGAGGGTGGCTAGGCAGCCCAGAAGCCCCCCAGTTCCACAGCACAGTGCTACTCCCCTCCCCCATCCTCTGTCCAACACTCAGGTCAGCTCCTGCTGCCTTCAGCTCCTAAGCATCACTCCTGATAACAGGAGACACCTGTCAAGATGGGGACCTCTGTTAGGCAGAATGGCAAGTTGCTACAGCACTGGGATACTCGGCTGTCTGGGAAGGGGACAACTTCTTCTTGCACTCCTTTCTATGCCATGTGAACAGGTTAAAAGAGGACAAATCAGAGGTCCAGCTTCCTACTTATTTTGGAATCAGTTTAAATATACCAAAATGACGACCAACATTACTCAAGTAACTGTACACATGGGGAGATCCAAATGCCTCCTGGAGTAATCAGGCTCACCTGCCCAGCCCAGGTCTTCTGCTGGAATTAGATCAGCCTCAGACATGACACACGGGGTGGTTCCTGCACTCAAAACATTCTTCTCAGGGAGGCCTTTCTGGGAGCAGAGGGCAAGTCGGATTCAATTAAGTACAAGGACAACAAGGCATTCAAAACAAGTGTTATTTATTATAAAATCAGTGGCTTCTGATTAGAAGACTTTTTTTTTTTAAACCAAATAGGCTCAAGAAGCTGGCTGGAGGTTGAATTGGCTGACGAACATCTTCTTCCTCCACCAGCAGTTTGTGGGACACATCACGTTTCTGCCAAGTGCTACAGCTGAAGCCCATATTCATAGAAGCACCCTGACAGCCCTTCTCCAGCAACTTCCAGAAAACAGAACCTGAGCACTCAAAGCTGCATCAGCCCATGTGGCCTTGCTCCCAGAGAAGCATCTGCCAGTTTGGGCATGGAGGAACAGAAAGTGGGCAGGGAATTCTCCTTGGCTCCTTAGAAGGCAGTGGGAGCCCAGGGAAGCGTTCGGCCCCAGTGCAGCCTAATTGGGAGGGAGGGATGGGTAGAGGCTGGCTGGGCTTCTCCTTCCTCACCCTCATGCAAGGTGGCTGCCCCTCTGGCTCCTTCAGAGCTCTTCCCTTCCAAGTTCCTACTGAGAAATAAGAAGGCACAAAGGAAAATCAGCCACCTCCTGGAGGTCACTGTGGGCCACCTGCTTTGCTAAGAGCCAAGCACAGACCCCTGCATTCTCCCTGCAGGAGAGCCCACCCGGCTCAGAAGAAAGCAATTCCGCCTGTGGGGAGGAGAGGAAGGGAGGGGAGGGGAGGACACACGGTGAGGTGGAAGCAGCGAGCAGAGCTTCTCCATCCCTCCTCTCCTTCCCTGCCAGAAATGCAATTAAGCAAGTGGCCCAGACTCAGCCGCACAGACAGCGCTTCCTGCTGGGGGAAGTCAAAAGGGCTGTAGCAGTGGGAAAGGGAGGTCATCGGGCCCCAGATCTAATTAACCAACCTGCCTTGCTTTTGACGTTGCTGCATTTCCTCTATTAACATTAATGATGGTTGGTCTGAATGCCCAAGCATGGCCAGAAGCTTCCCTCCCCACCACCCAGTAGGTAGCACAGCCTGTCCCTGGGACCAATATCCAGTCTCCGTGGCAACCGCCTCCTGAAGATGCTTTAAAGAGATCTGACCCTGTCAGAGTTGTTGGGAGCTTCAGAGGAGGGAAAATGGAGTGTGGCGGATTCATCATTAAATATTGAAGCATCAAAGTCCTCTGAGACAAAAGAAATATTTTGTCATGCACCAGGAAGGTGGAGGCAGGCTTAAGGGCTGGCCTTGGGTGGTTTGGTTCTACCACAGGGTTTTCTTCATCCCTTTTGGGGAGGAAGTGGAAGGGGCAGCTCTGAGCTTCTTGTTTGAGCTGCAGAGTGGTAGACGCAGGAAGCTGGCATGCATTTCTAGGTGCCATGGGTCTTCACTGCTGAAGCAGTGACAGAGAGAAAGGGAATTGCCCACGGAGTGAGGGAGGGGTGAGCAGAGGAGGACTGCAGAAGTGACACTGGGAAAGCTCAGCAGGTGACAGGAACATTAGTCTGGAGAGGCCAGAGTCCCCACATCCCAGCACCACGCAGATTCCCTGCCCTGTCTCTCATCTACCTTGGGCGCTAAGCAAGGTTCCCATGGGCTCTCCCAGCAGCCAGGAGAATGCATCTGCCTTGCCCTCCAGGCCAGGCTAGATGCACTTGGAGAGACCTGGCCTCTGGCACACAGGGCCTGGGAACACTGAGCAGCCCAGGATAGGACATCGTTCCTCCCGAGTGTCACAGTGTGACAATCCCAAAAAACGAGGAACCAAGGGCTAAGGCAGGCTGACGCTCCGGAGTCCGCTGCTCTCTGTGCGTCACAGGCAGGAAGTCCAGCTACCTGCAGCCACTGGGGGGCATGGTGGGAGCCAGGCCCTCCAGCTCGGGGCGGCGCGCCTTCCTCCACGCTGGATTCATTTGTTTGTGGGAGGGAGGGCAGCACAACTTTGACAGTCCCATCTGCTCTGCCTTTGGTGACATCCCAAGGTGAGGTCAGTATTCTCTGCCCTCAAGGCCCTCTCAGAGGTCTGAGAATTTTTGATGGATCTTACAAACCAAAACCAAAGAAATCCAACAGAAAAAAATACCAGAAAATATTACTATAGCCTGGACTATTTTAGAGTTTATGACACTCAGCTGTCCAGTTACACGGTCTGTATTCCACAGGGATATGGACAACATGCCCTCACATACACACACGCGCACCCACTCCCACCCTCTGGCACCCATCCTCCCCTGCGCTGTGCACGAGGGAGCAGCCCAAGAGGCGCTGTCCTCTCCGTGGTGCTGTGGACGGAGCTGCGGCTCTCTCCCGGCTCTCTCCAATGCTGGGTTCCATTCCAGCTGCACTCCCAGAGCTGGGTCCTGGTGAGCAGCAGAATTCTTCGGGCTCCTTAGGCAGCTTCCTCATGGCCGGATGGTCCAGTACTGCTTCCCAGCTGGCTCTCCTGGGAAGTTCCTGGACCCAGGCTGGAATCTTTGCAGTGGCCTCAAAAGTCCCATGAGTCCAGCCACCTTAGTCCTGCCATTGGACTTTGGGGGTCCTGGGCCAGGGGACCAACCATCCCGTAAGCCAGAGGGTGGAAGAGGTAGAAGCTGTGAGAGAGAACCAGTAGGAGGCAGTTGGCACCCCCAGTGCCTCAGCTGAGGGGCTTTGAATTCCATTCCTCCTGCTGGAGCTCCAGAGAAATTCCCCATCGCCAAGCCCGGTTCTCTTTCACGGCCTTGTCTGTCTGAGTCCCACTGGGGCACACTGTAGCTGGAGAGCTTAGTAGATGCTGACTCAATGACAATCATGGAAAGGGCTCTTCCCAAGAGGCCCAGGAGGGCAACCCTTCTAGGGGTCTTGTCATGGGCTATTTGGCCAGGGGTGTTTGTCAACATGTGAATGTAACCCTCTTAGGCAGGCATGTGCTCACAGGCCACAGGCCCAGCACCAAGGCCAGGGACTGGGGAAGCGGGGAGCCTTCCAAACAACTCTCCCTTTCAGCCACTCAGCCACACACTTCCCATTCCCACCCTTCCCACCCCACCCGTCGAGAGCTCTTCCGGCAGGGGGCCACAGTGACTAAAGAGGGGTGCCCTGTCCCCCATTGCCCCCCGGTTCCCCCCTCCCTCACCCGGAGAGCTGTTCTGACAGGGGGCCATGGTGACTAAAGAGGGGTTCCCTGCCCCCCATTCCCACACTCCCCCTCTGAGAGCTGTTCTGGCACAGAGTCACTGTCACTAGAGGGGTACCCTTCCAGGTGCGCTGGGATGGCACAAAAGCTGAACCACCGGCAGAAGGGGAAAAGGCAGAGTTAAGCCCTGCTTCTCCTACCTGGCTGCACATTAGGATCACCTGGGGGACTCTGGAAACCACGGCCCCACCTGGGCTTGGGTGACGCAGAACCTCCAGGCATGGGCACTGGTGGTGTTAAAAGCACCGCAGGGGATTCTCGAATGCATCAGGGCTGAGGCACTGCTGAGCCCACACTGGGAGGGCATGTGAGGTGCAGAGATGCTCACCTGTAGGCAGTTCCCAGGAGCAGGCTCAGGATTCCCGCCACATGTATGCCCCTCGCCAGGGGCCATGAGGCCAAGCCCCAGGCACAGAGCCGCAGGAGGGTGTCCCACAGAATGCCTAGAGGAGAGGAGAGAAACCTGGAGTCAGCCAGGCAGGGGGTGACTTCTGGGCTACAGAAGAAGGAGGCACTCCAAGTCAAGGAGCAGAGAGTCACTCCCAGCACTGCTGCCCCACAGTGGCCTCCCGTCAAGGAGCAGAGTCACTCCCAGCACTGCTGCCCAACAGTGGCCCGCCCTCCACCTGCTCTGTCTCCCAAGTCCAGGTGGGTGGCACTGACCTGTCAACATGCTTGAGAAGAGCATGGCTGGGAAGTAGTGGTGGAAGTAGAGGACCCGGCCCATCAGGAAAAACGGGAAGTAATGGAGTGTCCAGCCGAGCAGGACCTGGCCGCCTCCTCGAAGCAGGACCTGGGACAACCCTGGGCCCAAGCAGCACAGCCCAGTCAGAAGACAAGGAGCGGGCAGAGATTCCAGGCTCTGGTCCAGCTCTGCCCCTTCCTTGCTGTGTGACCTTGAATATGTCATATCACCTCATTGGACCAACCCAAACCACGCTACAGAAACTGGAGAGGAGCAGCTGGGGCTCGAGAGCTCTGGTCAGGGCCCAGCCTAGTGAGGCCTGGGCACCAATGGCAGGTGCACCAAGCACCAGCAGGAGGCAGCCCAGCCTCTAAAGAAACCCTTCTGCGCCTGCAGACAGCTTCACTCCCTACTTCCACCTCCCACATCTTTGCTGCCACACAGATCTTTGCAGCGGCAGACAGGCGCTAAGGTGAGGTTACAGGTGAGGATGGAGTGAGGAGGTGTCTGGGACTATGACTGTTCAGACAGAGAGCTGCAGAGGCAAAAGGGCCTGTGTGACTGTCTCAGGTGCTGTGGCCCATGGTCTGGCAGCCAAAGTTACCAAGAACAGCACTGGGATGGGAACTCAATAACCCTGGAGGCTCCTCTCTAGCCCATGAGAGGACAGGGCCATGGAACAAGGAGGTGGCAGAAAAGATGGGCAGCTCTGTACACAGCATGGGGCTAAAAGTGAGGGCTGTGGAGTCAGATTGCACGGGTTTGAGCCTCAGCTCTATCACTTACTAGCTGTATGTCCTGGGGCAAGTTTCTTAATCTCATGGTTCCTTGGTTTCCTAATCCATAAAATGGGGGTCATAATAGCCAACGCTCTAGTGTTGTTGGGAGGAAGTAAAGTGTTTAACACAGCACTGGGTACTTGGGGGTTGTTACCTTTCAAAAGCAAAGGATAAGGGAAGGTGTGGGGTGGTAAACGCAAAGGATGGCCCATCAGCAGGCAGCCGGCCCTCCCCAGGGGTGCAGGTGCCCTGCTGCCGCCAGGTCAGGGGAGGGAGAGCCCAGAGGACCTGACCTGCAACCTCCGCTGGCAGCCGTGCCCCTCTCTGCATGGCTACAGCAATGATGCTCCCTGAGAGGAGGTAGAGGGCGATGCTCAACAGATTCAGCCACCAAACCACCTGTGCAGAAATGGGAATGGGCAGATGAGAACGCAGCCGCTCTCCACGGGCAAGTGCTCCAGGGCCTGAGCCGGGAATGTTTAGGCACTCACCGGGTTGCCAAGCAGATAGACTCGGAAATCTGTGTCATTGACCCCTGAGAAGCGTAGGCCCTGTGGAATAGAGACCACCCTGCTGACCCAGGCCCAGCCCATCCTCGGCCACACCCATTAGGGGGAGGAAGATGGTCACCTTCCACAGACAGGGAGCCTGGACACGAACCTCAGGCTGGCAAATTCTACACGAGCTCTCTGGGAAGCAGGGTCAGAATTAGGGCAGAAAACAGATACTCCCACCTCTGGCCAACCCATCCCAGGAGGCCCCTCGCCCTGCCGCCCTAGTACACCCACCCCCGCCTCCACCGGTCTCCCTGCTCTTGTTCTTGGCTCCATTTCCTGGGAGGAGCCCCAGCCTTGGATCCTACCTGATAGTTGATAGGCCAGTGCCAGGGTTTGGACGTGAACTCATTGTCCTTGGGTTTGAGGCCACTGTTCCCCTGCATGAAGGTAGCAAAGAAAGCTAGTCAAGACAGAGATCTAGAGGGCTGACAGAAATGTGGGGCCCAGGTTTTTCTGATATAGGGCCAAGCGCCGAGCAGAACCTTCTCTCCTTCCCTTCCCTTGCAGGGAAGAATCAGGCAGCTGCTGTCTGCCTACCTACGACACTTGCTTTACTTCTCCCAGACAAGCCTCCATCTCCCATAAGGGGTCCATTCCAACCTTCTAGGGAAAAAGAAGGGAAAGAGGAAATTGTTCCAATGGGCACAAAATATATACCCATCTGCCAAGCTAAGGACAAGGTGTGAAAATGGTGGGAGAGAGGGGATATAAAATGAGGCTTACAGCCGGGTGCAGTGGCTCATGCCTGTAACCCCAGCACTTTGGGAGGCCGAGGCGGGTGGATCACCTGAGGTCAGGAGTTCAAGACCAGCCTGGCCAACATGGTAAAACCCCGTCTTTACTAAAAAATACAAAAAATTAGCTGAGCGTAGCGGTGGGTGCCTGTAATCCCAGCCACTTGGGAGGCTGAGGCAGGAGAACCACTTGAACCCAAGAGGCGGAGGTTGCAGTGAGCTGAGATCATGCCATTGCACTCCAACCTAGGCAAAAAGACCAAGACTCAGTCTCAAAATAAATAAATAAATAAATAAATAAATAAATAAATAAATAAATAATAAGGCTTACTTATTTGTTCCCTTCAGGGGCCAATTTCAAACAGAAAAGCAGAAACTCTCATGCGTGCCTAGACTTGGAAGAGGTTGCTTTAGCTTAGTGCTTCTCCACCTTTTTTTTCCACTACTGCCCCTCTACCAGGAGCCTTTGTAGACAAGTTTCTCCCTAAACACACTCCATGACATTTTAATACTTTATACTGTACATCTTACTTGTGCTTTATACATAAAAAATTAGATATTTTGCCCTCCAAGAACACATTTCATCTATTGGGAGAGAAATCAACCCTAATGCATGCTTTGGTTTGAAGGACCCAGACTCAGCCTCCCTAATCCAGCAGCCAAGAACATCTGCTAACCTTTCTCTACAGGGCAAACCAGGTCTTTGCTAAAACAGGAAGGAGTAGGGTCAGGATCCAGGATATTAACCACTAGGACTGGGTTCTGCCTTATCACTGGGACAGACTGAAAAGGCATTTCCCCAGAAGGGGAGTCAGCTGCCATGACTTAGGCCGGAGCTTCTCCACCTCAGCACTCCCAACATTTCGGGCTGGATGAGTCTTTGCTGTGAGGACTGTCCCGTGCATTGCAGAGTGTTTAGCATTCCTGGCCTCCACTCACTGAATGCCCGTAGCACTCCTACCCTCAACCCCTCAGTTTCCCAGCCAAAAATTTCTCCACAGATGGCCAAAAGTCCCGAGAGGCAAAATCACCCTCAATTAAGAACCACTGGTATAGCCTAAGAAAGACCCAGAAAGTTCAGTGGACTGCCACCCAGTGCCTTATGAATCCAGTTCAGCAAGGGGCTGGGAATAGTTTACAGGCCTCTACATGGTGGAGAGGTTGTGCCTCCAAGGTCAAAAGTGCATCCAGGGCATCAGACACAAAGGGGACAGCTGCACGGCCCCAGCGTCACTGCGGCCCTTTGAAGGACCTGGGAATGAGGAATGAATCATTCTGGACCCCTGCGGCAGTTGCTGAGGGAAACCAATTCCTTCAAATTGTACAGTTTGGTCCCAAACCCAAGGACTCCAGCCAGAACTGTACCAAGCCAAGGGAATCTTATTCACTACATTAAACTCTGAGAAATCCTGCTCTGTTGCTAAACTAAAAGAGGAAAGAAAAATCTGCAACCATCACAGGCATATGTACTTGTAAGTTGTTCTCTATGGCTGAAATCTGGATGGGCTCATTCCTGTAACTGCACCAGGCAAGGCAGCCTTCTCCTCCAGGTCCCGGGCCACTACTCAGCCAGCGGAAGAGCCCTGCCCCTGCAGTTTCTATAGTCTGGACTCACTGTTTTCATCTCTCTCCCCTCCCTGACTCTTTGTTGGCTGAATAAGAAAGCTCTCATTACTTCCCTTTTCTTCTCTGACTCTACTTCTTAGATAATGAAAGACAAAATGAAACTCGTAGATTTAGTCTTAAAATTTGACCCAGGCCCAGAATGATATTCTGACTGACAGGCACATGTTCAAAAGAGCTATGTCATCAGGCCACAGTGACAGCTACAAGCAGAGAGTCAGAAAGGAAGTGACCCAGAGATGCTTAATGTCAACTTATCACCTCCCAATGCGCAAAAATGACAAAATTTGAATTTTTAAAATTTAATCTGGTGAAATAAGTCAACTATATGTACTGAGTACTGCTTACATAATCACTTCCAGGGAAGTCCACTTGACAATGGCTTACCAGGGGAAAAATAACAAGTGCTACACCTCCCTGCAATGCTGTGGGTAGAGTGATAATCACATATCTGGCTTGAGATAGTGATTCTTAAACATTATTCCTGCAGAACACAGGTTTTCCATAAGCCAGAATAAGGGGGTCTTCCACTAAACAGCAGGACTACAGCAGGGGAAAATTTAAGCTAGTGAGTAGAATTTTCTCAATTTAAAGATTTCTTCTCTGAATTTTTCTTAAACCTTTGATGCTACAACTGCTGTCAGCTACTAATGATAGAGAGTGCAAACAATGTCTTAGAAAACCTTAAAAAGAATCAATCATGCCCTGCCTAAGCAGTTTCTGTCCAGGAATATGAGTGGGCTCGTGGCTGGGATTTCATGCTGCATATAAACAACACACTCAAATTAGCTATCCATCCTAACTGATCCTGATTTCATATGATGGAATGAACTATCAGTATCTCATGATCTTCAACCAAGAGCACTATGATTTTCAGGGGCTCTGCCACTTGGGCAGATTCACAAATCACTTAGAGGTGAAGGAGTGTAGTGGTAACTAGCAGTAACTCTAAAAGCCTACCAGCCTGGCTCTGAGGGCTGGATCTACCTCTTACACTTAGCTGTGTGACCCTGGGCAAGTTCCCTGACCTCTTTGTATGTCAGTTCCCTCTCCTGTAACTGGGAATGATGGCAACCTCCATATGATTGTAATAAGTATCAGATGAGTATAGTGCTTAGCGTAGTGCCTGGCACATGAGCTGTACAAGCAGTCACTGGTATCACCATCATCACCACCATCCTCATTCTGTGGTGAGGGAAATGCCTTTGAGGATCACAGAAAACCGTAGTAAAGATGCTTTCAAATTCCTCCACAAGGGGGAATGGATCTGTAGCATGGCATTGACTTGTGATCCAAATTCATGGCTGCCCAAAAGCTCTTAGAGACGCCATGAAATGAGAAGGGGACACATACCCGGATCATGACCATGTGGGATTCCAGCAAGATCTCAGGAAAACTGGGCTGTAGCACATCCAGGCTGATGTTTGGCACTAGGGGAAAAAAATGCAGGAGAAAAGCCTTTGTCATACATTCTTTCCTCAGTCTGTCCATGGTGTCCACATTCCCACCAGAATCCAAATGCAGCCTTGCTGACAAGTTCACAACTGTTGAGGAGACAGAAGAAAGCTTGGCCCAATTCTTGATCATTTACTTAGCTGTATGAAGAACTCATCAGGCATTCTAAGAAATGCAAAGGAAATAGACAACAAGGTTTCACCTGCTTGGTGCTCCAACAGCTCCCAGCACCATTGCTTTTCACTGTGGTACTGGCTCAAATGCTGCTCTCCTATTAGGCATAAGGGACAGCTGCACAGCCCCCGAGTCACTGTGGCCCTTTGAAGGGCCTGGGAATGAGGAATAAATCATTCTGGACGCCTGGAGCAGCTGCTGTCGGGATGGGGACCAAGTCTGTCTCCTCGCCAATATGTCCACAGGGCCCCATGTGGTTCCTGGCATACTTGATAAAGAGTTGTTGAATTAGTTGATTAGTGGGTTTGGCTAGATTAGGTGGGAAGAAGAACAAAATGAAGGCACACATAAGCTTGAGGTGGGTAGTTTAGGAAAACAGATGATGAATCCAAATACTTATTGAGTTGAAGCTGACAACGCAGTGGAAATATCAAATTGGAGCTTGGGTGTAGAGATGTGGGGCACAGATCAGGGCTGTGGCAGTCACTTTCTATAAAAGCATTGGCTGGATATGTGGGGGGGCGGGGGAGCGACTCTACACTGAGGCATAAAGGGAAAGTAGCAGCTTGCTCCAAGCCTGGAGGCTGGGGAGGTGCCCATGGTGCAGGGGAGAGAGGAGCCCAGAGGAAGACGAGACAGATGGATCTGCAGATGGCCACTGGCCACTTTAGGGAGAGGAGTTTACGGAGGGAGTGGATGAGAAGGAAAAGGAGTATGCTATGTAGGTACAGACAACTCATAGAAAGAGAGTGTTAACAAGGAACAAACAGCAGCAAGTTGAAGGGATAGCACAGTTTACAAACGCTTACTTTTCTAAGATAAGGGTTTCTTATAAATGCTTCCCTCCAGAGCCAGCCCAGAAAGTGACCTCACTCACACTTGGGATTGATATGGTCCTCCACATTCCAGATGGAGTTGAGGGTTTCTTTCAGGTATGGGGTGCAAGTAACTTCCAACTGCTCCCAGCCCCTGTGAAAAGCAGAAGTCACAGATGTCTCTCAGAAGACGTGAAATCCACCAGAGAGTGACACTGTCTTCTGCTCTTAAATCCACAGGCTCCTTCTCTTTTCCACATGGTGGCCATTATTTCTTCATGTTCCATGTTGGACAACTATCCTAGGATAGTCTAGCATACAGTATTCCCATTTTAGAAAAAGACATAGACCCAGAGAGTTATTAGCACCAGCCAGATGTGAAAATGTTGAACTATCAGAACACATAAAACACCGAAGCTCCCCCGGAGTTCTGTGCTCCATAATACACCTGATATCTACTCTCCCTCCATCTGCCACTAAGAACAAGCAGACAGCAGGTGAACACAGGAAAACAAAAGCTTCTGGCATACTCCTTGTAGAGTGAAAGGAAAATCAGGACCCTCGATTGGGACAGCAAAACCCTAGAGACTTACCACTTGGGCAGAACCTTTCCCGAGGAGCCCAGGACACAACCTGTGACCAAATGGATGAAGCGAATTCGACTTCTCAGCACTTTGATCCGGTTTCCAAATTTCCTGTTTACGACCTCAATCCGCCAGAAATCATTTGAGTCCCCTGTTCCATTCTGCCATAAAAGCCAAGAAAAAAATACAAAGAAAGTGAGGGGACTTTAGAGAAAACGTGTCAGAAAGGGAAATGGCCACCCAGATGCCACCATGTTATGAAGGTCAAAGACCAAATTAGGCTCAATGATAGAGATGGGCAAGGTTACAAGAAGGCCAAAGAAATATCCCAGGTGATTGGCATTGTCCCAAAACTCACTATTACAACCAAAAAACAGTAGTATGACTCCTGGAACCAGAAGTCCAGGAGTCCAACTCTTCACTTCATAGAACTAGAGTTCAAGTTCTAAATACCTGTCTTTGCCCTTCAACCAAACTCAAGACATCACTCTGAGCCAACAGAAACAGATCTGGGCCATTTGCATCCATTACCTTGGCTATCTAGGTATTCACTCATCTAAGCCAGAAAGGTCTGGCCTGGCTATTGCACTTTGGAAATTAAGACATGTATGTCTAATTCTTCTCAGAAGATGCCCACAAAGAAGATTAGAATGTTCACAGTCTTGACCTAGCACAATGTGGAATGAGCAAACAGAAAGAGGGCTGGGAAATCCACCTGAAGGCCAGAATCTGTATACAGTTTTCCACTAGTAGTTTTTGTCTTCAGTTACTCCCAAAGCCATAAGTACTCATAGAGCTTTTATTTATTAGCTGCATCTCCTTGAGGTAGTAAAATACAAAAGCTATGGATAATATCCCTCTGCAGAACAGGGAAATGATACTTAAAAATAAAGCTAATGAGAATTTGGGATCTGGCAAAAGATAAACATACATGTTGTTCATCTGGGGTCATATTGTGGGTCCTTGGCTTCTATGTCCAATGTGATTTTAAAAGAGATCCAAATAGTATTCATATTTGACATTTATTAAGTATCAGAGCATGTAAATGGCATGGTTATTATGTGAGGAGAGAGATGGAGACAAACAGACTTCATAGGCTGCTTTTCCCAGAGCAGGCCTAGCCAAAAAGTGCCCAAATGTTAAGAGAGTCCCTGTGCAGCCTCTTATCCTCAGGAACATTCCAGAATTCTGGGGAGGAGATATCCCACCACACAGCCCTGAGCCAAGGCCCATAACTTTTACGTCCTACTCACATCCCCGTTGCTTACTTACTATGCCATAGCCGGTGACCTGATAGTGCTTCCGGGTCATGGGGGCCTCATGATAGTGACTGTGCAAGTTCCGGGAAGTTCTAGAAGTTAGAAAAGAGAAGTGTCATTATCCTATAGAAAGATGATGTGCAACATTTCTTCTTTTACCAAGGATGTTCAGAGTCAACTGTCAGGATAAGAAAAATTAGAATCTGAACTATTAAATCCAACATATCAGGAACTGGTTTCCTATTTACTCACAAGAAATATCCTGAGAACTGGAGAAGAGATGAGCCCAAACCAGGAGAGACAGATGGTAGGAGCACTGGACGGCATGCCAAGAAAGGGGCTAACTTTAGGTGCTGGCAGGGAGGTGGGGGGCGACTTTCACACATTTAGTAGCTTTGAAGCACTTAGCTTGCCTGACTTAGGAGGCAGGTTTGAGGAGAGGAAAAATTAAAACTTGTAATCTGCATGGCCTGAGCTAGGTAACCTCCTCACTGCCACTTACTCTTTCTGCTCCCATCGCCAGATTTTTTTAAGTGGACATCTGTGGAGGATGAGAGGGGTTTAATTTAGCTTTTATTTAGTTTTATATAACAACTCTCACTTTTATCTGGAACAAATAATAAATGTTCATTATAAAATTTCTGAAAATTTGCAAAAGTAAAATTTAATTACAATAAATTTTTATTAATGACAAATGAAATTTATTTAATAAAATAAAAATTTTAAGTATTCAAAATCCAGCTGACTCAAAAAAAAACCATAGCTAATTGCTTCTCTCTCTGTCTCTGTCTCTCTCTCTCTCTCTCTCTCTCTCTATATATATATATATATACCCACACACATACACACCTCTGATTTTTAAAAATTTGTATCCGATAATTCCAGTCTATGAAATGTTTACGGGGCTGCTCCTGCTGTCTGTCGTTTCAGCTTGTTCTTGCACACAGTGCCCTATTTCCTTGTGTGCTTTGTTACTTTTGGGTGTGTACTATTGTCACTAAAAAACTATGGGAACAAATGACAACGACTTTCCCCAAAGAGGGCTTACATTTGCTTTTAGCCATGCACCTAGGAGACACGACCAATCTAGGATCATGTTCATTTAAATTCATGTCTTGGAGATTCTGAGATCACCCAGGCAACATGAATTTGAGCTCCAAGTTCATGTGAGGATCAAATGGTAGTTCCAACTTCTCAGGAACTAAGGACAGTTCACCACCCAACCCCCAACACTTAGCTGGGTCCTAAAGTGGACCTGGGCATAAGTGGATAGGGCAGATTTACCCTTACCCCAAGCCTTTGGGGGTTCCAAATATGGGGAAGGATAACTTAATAAATTTACCACTTTGGGTGAGCCTAGGTTTGACTTTAAAACCTCTTCTCTCAAGAGACAGCCAAAAGTCAAGATTGTGGGATCAAAGCAAAAGTGGCTTCAGTGTCTCACTTATTTCTCTGGATTCCTCATTTCACTTAGGCTTTGGCCTGGTAACTCTTTAATATCTTGTCAGCCTTTTTATGCTCTTAAGAAGTCTTTATATTATTCCAGCATTTTTAGTCATTTTCAGTGAGAACACTGGTTAAATAAGCTAGCTTGCCATATTCTCAGAAACAGACTCCTACGTCTTTCTAAAGGCAGCCACTTAAGAAGAAGCTTTGGGAGCTGGGTGTGATGGCTCATGCCTGTAATAGCAACCATTTGGGAGGCTGAAGCGGGAGGATCGCTTGAGCCCAGGACTCTGAGGCCAGCCTGGGTAACATAGTGAGACTCTGTCTCAAAAAAAAACAGCAGCAGCAGCTTTCAGCAACTCAAATTTTCCTCTAGGAAATGGGAAATTGAAAGGTCCCCAGAAGGCAGGCAAAGGCTGGCCTGCAATTTCATCACCTTCATAAAATGCTTCTCCCATTCTCGCACTGTGGCCTTGCTCCATTGACCAGAGCCTCATCAAAATCTAACTTCTGTTTACTTCTTAAAATAACTCCCTCCCCTTGGTGCCCGTACCATTTATTTATCCAAACTGCAAATTGACTTACTCTTTGTGTTCTAGTCGAATAATGTCTCCATGTCTTACAAACTCCACTGGGAAGGAAGGGTCTAGGGGATCTGCCAAAAAGAAACAAGCATTGATATCCAAAATCACTCACCAGGCTAGTATTAATCAAGGGCCTACTGGTAAACAGTTATAGTACCATGTGGTATCTGCTAGAGGTACTAACCAGGTACTCTGAGACCAAAGAGGAAAGACCCCTAAATTGCTTCAGGGTATTAGAGAAGGGTGTCCCAGAGATAATGCTCGAAAAGACTCTTAAGGGAAAGGGAGAATTTTGTCAGGTGAACAAGCAGGAGAAAGGCACTAGAAGTGTGAAAGAAGAAAACTTCTGGCCGGGCACAGTGGCTCACGCCTGTAATCCTAGCCCTTTGGGAGACCGAGGCGGGCAGAACACCTGAGGCCAGGAATTCGAGACAAGCCTGGCCAACATGGTGAAACCCCATCTCTACTAAAAATACAAATAATAGCCGGGCGTGGTGGTGCACGCCTGTAGTCCCAGCTACTCGAGAGGCTGAGGCAGGAGAATCGCTTGAACCCGGGAGGCGGAGGTTGCAGTAAGCCGAGATTGCGCCACTGCATTCCAGCCTGGGTGACAGAGCAAGACTCTGTCTCCAAAAAAAAAGAAGAAGAAAAACTCCTTCGATGAATAGCAAATGGGTTTCATACTGTAAGGGTGGGTGGGGTGGGGGAGAGTGGGAACAGATGAGGCTATGAACGAGTGTGGCCAGACTGCATATTCCAGGCTGGAATGTGGCCTTTACCCGATGAGGCACTGAAGCCCCCACTGGAGCTTAAGCTGGGAAGCTAAATAGTAAGACTTTAGTAGTAATAACAGCCTTCTAAAAAGTAATTCCATACAAATGACCACTTGCCCAACTCTCCTCAAAATCAAATAAACCCTGACAATCTTGCCAGCGAGTATCTTGTCTCTGGCAATAAACTTGCTAAATGTGAGGTGAATAATGATGAAATGATTAAAGGACTACTTCTGTATCATCTCAAAATCAAGACCAATCAGGATCTAGAAAGGTGATGACATGGAAAAGGAGCTGGCAGTAATCATAGCAACACAGAATGGATCCTTGCAAATTTCTGTCCCAAACAGTGAGATACCAACACACTATAAATTGATCAAGGTCAGGAAAGATAAATTTGCCAGTGCAAATCACTGGCTCTCAAGAGAATCAGAGAACTCAACCGCAGAGACACCCATTTCCATGCTGCCTGTTAGGGTCTCTTAAAAGCATTAATTAGCAAGATGACAAATCAACTAAGTCAATAGGGAGGGAGGTTTTATTTCATATGCATTTGGTGGGGAGGGGCATTTATAGCCTTCAAGAACACAAAGACCCTAGTCTATAAAGCTCCCACAAAATCCTTAATCACTTCGATGAAATGCAACCATCTTAACTCAGAAGTCACAATGGAATAACAGACTAGGAATGTTCAAAGACTTGGTTCATGACCACATGACGGAAGTAAAACTGGTCTTCCCTCGTAACTCCTCACTGTGATAGAACACTCACGTTTGGCCTGCTGAATCAATCAATATCCATTATAAAAGTATAGAAACAGACTCTGCCCAATGGTGTCGTAATTTATCCCACTAAGGAGCAGGATGTAGAAAGTGGTTGTATACGCCACGTTTCTAGCCTACACAGCAATAAGAGGAGGTGGATTTAGGTGAGCAGCTGCCCATTTCTCTACAAAGGCCTAGGAGCAGCTGAGCTGGGATAGGCTAAGCCAGGTGGGATTTGCTGAGGAGTCACAGAGATACCTGTGGCACAGGACTGTCAGCAGAGATGACAGGCTCGGAAGGTGAGTGGAAGATGCCCTCTGTTCTCTTAGCTGCAGCAGAGGCACAGCCTGCAGGTAGCTAGCTGTCTGACCAAAGAAAGGAAGATCTGGCTCTAGCTCTTGCTCTGTCATAAAGCCCTGAGAGCCTGATAGGTGTGCTTCAGAGCGCCTTCACCCAGGCCAGTTAGAAGCAGATCAGCAGGCATCGAGTCACATCTCAGGAATTAGCCTAGACAAATTCCAGTCACAGGACTAGTAGCCCCTCAGATCAACTGACTGACTCAGGCCAGGGCTGAGCAGTGGGCAGGATTCTATCTTATCAAGACGACTTAAGCTGCACCACATGCTAGAGTGTGCAATGTTTGGTGTGCTCTATGTAAGAAATGAGAGCAGCAGCCAGGTGCCCTCAGCTGGGGCCACTCACCAGCCCCTAGTGGCATGCTCAAGTAACCTCTACTTAGATTAAATCTGGGCTCCGCTATCTGTCTTCAAAATGACAGCTCTAAGAGCAAGTTCTTACCTGTTTTGCTCAATGCTTATCCCCTATGCCAACAACAGTGCTTGGAACACAGTAGGTGCTTAATAAATAATAATTGAAAGGATAATTGAGATAAGTAAAGGTGTCAAAGATGCTCAGCAAAGCCCATCTCAGGATCATTCTTTTGCAGGCATGAGAAATCTTAAGGAGGGCTCAGAGGGAGTAACAGCACAAGAAGCATCAGTCTCTGACCACATTACCTGAGTTTGTGTTATGTTTCTTGATAATCCACAGGTTGTTGTAGTCCTTGTGCAAATAGGTGGTGACCTGGGTGGGGGGTGGGGGCGGAGGGAAGAGGAAGCAGGAGGGAGAATACCATCACTATCAGCACAGCTGGCCAAGGACAATCAACCTCAAACCAATGTTGCTTAAGCCAATTTCAGAATCCCCAGCCACCAACCTGAGGGGCCATGTTTCCCAATGGGGCTCATATGTAGCACTGGTGAGTGAGATTCTCTCCTTCCTTCTGCATTTAGAAGCTTTGTCCCACAAGAGCCTTTTTGTTTCTTTGTATCTTTCTGCATCTTGTCCTAAAAGTTCCATCCAGCCTTCTAGAGGGAGGAACCATGAGGCCTTATATAACTGACTCCAACACAAAAACAGAATGAGGATTTAAGTGCATTTTCAAAGTAATTAAGGCCGGGTGTGGTGGCTCATGCCTGTAATCCCAGCACTTTGGGAAGCCAGAGTGGGCGGATCACCTGAGGTCAGGAGTTTGAGATCAGCCTGGCCAACACGGTGAAACCCCGTCTTTACTAAAAATACAAAAATTAGCCGGGCATGGTACGCGCCTGTAATCCCAACTACTCAGGAGGCTAAGGCAGGAGAATCGCTTGAACCTAGGAGGCAGAGGTTGCAGTGAGCTGAGATCGCGCCACTGCACTACAGCCTGGGCAACAGAGCAAGACTCTATCTTGGGAAAAAAAAAAGTAATTAAGATCATGCCTCAAACTTTCTAAATGAAAAATTCATGCTATTATATTTTCTATAATGTGGCCAAATGAAACGAAAAAGCTCCACAGATATCCTGTCCTAGAATTTAACTCACGTTTTATACAAAAAATCTGGAAACAGTATGACTGTCTAGTAATAGAAAAATAGTTAACATGATAGTATGTCCTGGGATAGAATATTATACAGCCATAAAAAATGTTTCAGAGCATTTTTTTAGCAACATGGGAAAAGGCTCATGAAATGCTGATGCTGAAAATGGCTACCATTTATTACCAGGCACTGTTCTAAGCATTGGGCAAGTCTTATCTCATTTAACCATTATTACAGCTCTATGCCATAGGTACTATGGTTATCCCCACATTACTTACAAGGAAACTGAAGTTAAGTAATTTGCTCAAGGTCACACAGCTTATGCGTTGGGGAGACAGAATTCAAACCAGGGCCGCAAAATAAATGCTCCCAGGATAGAGACTATATACGTCCAATTATGCCAATTATGTAGACAAGTAGAGAACTCTCACAAATGAGTTTTTATAACCCCAATTGGATAAAATATGACCAATTTATAGTCATATGCCACATAAAGACATTTTGGTCAACAACAAACTGCATATATAATGGTTGCCCCATAAGATTATAATACCATATTTTTACTATACCATTTCCATGTTTAGATATGTTTAAGTTAATACAAATACTTACCATTGTGTTCCACTGTGTTCCAACTGCCTGCAGTATTCAGTACAGTAACATGCTATACAGGTTTGTAGTCTAGGAGCAATCAGCTATACCATGTAGCTTAGGTGTGTGGTAGGCTGGACCACCTAGGTTTGTGTAAGTACATACTATGATGTTCACCCAACGATCAAATCACCTAATGACCTGTTTCTCAGAAGGTATCCCCCCGATGCATGACTGTACTTACAAAGAGATTTAGAATTAGCATTTAGGGGAAAAATTATTTTGCTTGCATTATGGCTGCTTCTTTTGAGTGGTATTTGCTTTGTTCCTCAGGAAAAAAAAATTAGGGATAATGTTATTAAGAATATACAAGAAGCTAAAAAGTTTTGGTGCTCATAAAGAAATTAAAATGAAGTCTACATTCCTGAGAAAAAGCTCGATATCGTCCATCCAGCCTGGATTTGCTCAAGGAAGTTAAGGTTCTATGATGCTCGTGTGTGTACTCTGTGTAGATGTGTGGTAGGAGAGCAGTCTTTGTGTGTCTGTTTTACAAGAGCAATTATGATTAAAATTCCTACAAGAAAAATTATTTATTTATCATGAGTACAGTCCATGGCCCCTTTTCCCACTGAAATGTTTGTTTTGACAATGGAGATTTTTATACCATGAGATTTCCTAAGAACACAAGTATCCAATTATAGCAGAATGTTGTACATTAAAACATTCAGATAAACACTTAATCTTCTGGGATTACATGTAGCTTTTGTTTTCTTTTTTATACTTTTCTACATTTTCCAATTTTATAAATGCTATGCTTTAAAAACATTCTAAAATAGAGACCTAGACATGTTAACAAGACATTAAACTGCATGGCAGGAAGGGCCACTGGAGATTATTTAGTCCAATCCCCTCAATTTACAGATGAGGAAACAGGATGAAAGGCTAAAAGATCTGGTCAATGACAAAGCCAGACACTTTCGTCCCTTGGCGCAATGCACTTTCCCTATACCACCATCACGTTTCACACCTCCACACATGGGCTCTACGTACATAACACTAGCTTAACAGAGCCTTTCAGAGTTTGGCCTTTCTCTCCCTTTGCACAGTGTAGATGTTCTGGTCACCAGGTCTGTAACTGTAGTGTCTTCTACATGACACCTGCAGCAATTTATCAACACATGAGAACACAGAACATCTAGTTTTCTCTGCCCTGGGTGTACATGACTTAGAATAATTTGGACAGCTTAAAACCAAACCAAAAATGCATAATGCATGGGCCTCATCCTAGATCAATTAAATCATAATCTCTGCAGTGGAGTCCAGGCATCAGAATTTTTAAAAATCTCTCCGTTGATTCTAAGTGCAGCCAGGGCTGAAAACCACTGGGCCAGACATGAATGGAGAATTAAGGATAAGAAACTGATACTAAAATCCAATACCCTGTAATATGGTTTGGCTTTATGTCCCCACCCAATTCTCATCTTGTGGCTCCTCTAATTCCCACGTGTTGTGGGAGGGACCCGGTGGGAGATGATTGAGTCACGAGTGAATGGGTCTCACAAGATCTGATGGTTTTATTTTTTTATTTTTTGAGATGGAGTCTCACTCTTTTGCCTGGGCTGGAGTACAGTGGCGCAATCTCAGTTCACTGCAACCTCCACCTCCCCGGTTCAAGTGATTCTCCTGCCTCAGTCTCCTGAGTGGCTGGGATTACTGGCACGTGCCATCAAGCCCGAGTAATTTTTTTGTATTTTTAGTAGAGATGGGGTTTCACCATGTTGGCCAGGCTGGTCTCAAACTCCTGACCTAAAGTGATCCGCCCACCTCGGCATAAGCCACCGCACCTGGCCAGAGATCTGATGGTTTTTAAAACCATTTTTAAAATGGGATTTTCTCTGCACAAGCTCTCTCTTTGCCTGCCGCCATCCACATAAAATGTGACTTGCTCCTCCTTGCCTTCCACCGGGGTTGTGAGGCCTCCCCAGCCATGTGGAACTTTAAGTCCAATTAAATCTCTTTCTTTTGTAAATTGCCCAGTCTCAGGTATGTCTTTATCAGCAGCATGAAATTGCACTAATACATACTGAGTCACTTTCTAGCAACTAAAAGGGAAATAAAAATAAAGCATTTGGAGAGAGACAACTTTTTGCAAAGAACAAATCTTTGCAAAGTAAAGATTCCATGCTTTTTGCCTCTGTTCACTGTCCTTTGTCATAATTATTGCCTCCAAACTGGTTCCTTGTGAGCTATCACATTTCCACTAAAGTTACCTTTCTAAACTAGAGATCTAATCATAATCATAATAATTTTGATTGCCTCCCTAATGTCTATGGAGCAAAGTCAAATCTACTATAACACAGGCCTCTCCCCAATATGGCCCCACCAACCTCTTCAGCATCCTGCTTCTCCCTCTCAGGCACCATCCACTGCAGCCACACAAACACTCCTTAACATGGACACAGCATCGTTCACTCATTCAGATGATACTCACATGGCTAATCTTTCATAAGCACTTCACATTGTTATCTCATTTAATCCTCACAACTGCCCTTTGATGGAGAGAGGTACTACTCATTTTCCCCAACTTAAAGAGGAGGATACAGGCTGGGCGCGGTGGCTCATGCCTGTAATCCCAGCACTTTGGGAGGCCGAGGCAGGTGGATCATGAGGTCAGGAGATCGAGACTATCCTGGCTAACACGGTGAAACCCTGTCTCTACTAAAAATACGAAAAATTAGCCAGGCGTGGTGGCGGGTGCCTGTAGTCCCAGCTACTCGGGAGGCTGAGGCAGGAGAATGGCGTGAACCCGGGAGGCGGAGTTTGCAGTAAGCTGAGATCACGCCACTGCACTCCAGCCTGGGTGACAGAGCAAGACTCCATCTCAAAAAAAAAAAAAAAAAAAAGAAGAGGATACTGAAGCACAAGAAGATGAACTTGTCCAAAGTGACACTCTATATGAAAGCAGGCTTCACACCCCGATCATCTAGTCTGGTTCCCAGGTCTGTGTTCATAAATACCACACTTTATTCATCACCCATCCCATAGCAGGCACCGTGCTAGGCAATTGAGCCTTCCAGGAGCTAGCAATCAAGTACCAAAGAGACGGCGGGAAGTAAGCATGCACAGTTCAATATGAGAAGGTTTACCACGTAGGCATGTGGAAGGTGCCACCAAGCCTCTCATCAGAGGGGCACCCCACCCAGCACCATGGAGAGGTGGGACATGGTTGTCACTAAAGAACACCTATGCTGATGCCTAGAGAAGCTGGGGTTAGCCAGAGAAAACAGAAGGGTGCAGGGCTAGGAAGAATGTTTCAAGCAGGGCGAACAGGATGAGCAAAGGATAGGAGGCAAGAGAGTGAACTGTCATGGCGAACAGCATTGCTGCCGTACAAGTGCACAAAAGGCTCACTGACCTGCTGCTGACGGGCACCAATGCCCTCGGGGTAGAGGTGCCTGTGGGAGTGCAGATAGCCGATGGCCATCCGGAGGTTCTTCACAGTGATCACAGAGCCGTAGGCCAGGTCTGGGAGGAAGGGAGACAGCAGAGGGGTGAGCTGGCACAGTGCCAGAGGCTGTCCGTGCCTGCGAGGAGCCTCGGAAGCCACAGGGCTCACTAACCCTCTGCGAGACTCCCCTGGGCCCTGGACTGAAGCCCAGCTACCTTCTCACTCCCATGGAGCCGACTCAAGACAGAGTTCACCACAGGGCCCACTTACTCCCCCGCCTCCTGAGGGCTTCAGAAGAAGCTTGTGTTAACACTGTCATTATCAAAGCACTACGTGTAACAGCAAAAGACGAAAAACAACTTGTCCTTCTCAAGGTCTCCACATGGATTCAATGGAATAAAGAAGGAAGTATCTTCTGTCTTCGCCTGGAATGTTCTCCAAGATACAGCATTTTGACAAACCATTTTTTTCACTCTATATCCTTTCGTGCCTTTTGAATCTAGTACCATATGAAATAACTGTTCAATGGTGTTTTGTTTTACTCTGAATTAAAAAACAAAAAACACAGAAAACCACTTCTCAAGAGCATCCCCTGCTCCTATAGGCCCTGAGTTATTGAGAAACCTTTTTTCCTTAATACTGTCCTTCTTCCAATCCGCTGGAATGACCTGCTCCTGTTTTTCTTTGTTCATTCAGTGGACCAGAAGAATTACACACTGGATCCAAAGGTGGAGGAGGCCTGCCTGTGGCCCTGGAAGAGCCCTGTCTACAAGGAAGATGGCTTCACACACTGACAAGTATAGGACAGTGGGCAAGTGCCCCACAAAGGCGTGACAATGTGTGACATGGTGGGAATGGTGGGAACTCGGAACAGGCCAAATTCTCTCCCAAGGATTAAAGAGAGGACGACTTGATCGAAGAGGTGACAGCTGAACTAGGCCTTTAAATAATGAGCAGGAATTTGCTAAACTCCACAGCTGTGTTCTTCTGAGTTCTCAGGCAGGCCAACCTCGGCAGCCCTGCACATGGCTGACCACCTTTATTTCTTGAAATGCTCTCTGTTCCCACTTCTCGACCGCACACTCTCTCAAGGGCTGCTCCTCCGCAGTCTCCTCTCCTAATTCCTCCTCCTCTTGCATTCCCCAGTGATCTGACCTCAGCTCTATTCTTTTCCTCTTTCTACAGTTTCCTTACAAATCACAGCTACTGCCACAGCATCAATTACCGTTTTACTTGTCTGATTCCTCCTTTGAAAGCATCAGCCCCAAATCCCACTGGCCCCATGGCAACAATTTCCCCAAGCAGCTCACTATCAACCCCTCTCGCGTGGAATTCAGTATCTGCCCTTCCAACCCAACTTCTTCTCCTGCTTCCCTATTTCTCATTCTTCCCAGTCTGGGAGAGTCCGCTGTATTTTAGGCACTGTGCAAAGTCCTGGAAAGACTAAAATGAGTAAGATGCAGTCTCTGCCTCCAGGAAGCAATCACCTGCACTCAAGTCCTTAGTGACATCTTTCTTCCTCTCTTGCTGTGTCCAGATCTCCCTTGTATATGCCCATTTGCCTTACCCTGTGGCTGCCCCACCATACCCAGCTCAGGTTCCTGCAATAGCTTCCCAGAGGGTTTCTCTTGCCTACAATCCTGTCCCCTCCCCAGCCAGCCTCGACTCTCCCACCCATGTCATCTCCCTATAGCACAGCCTTCCTGGCCTCCTGGCTGCTCAAAGACCTCCACTAGGTCTCCACGGCCTGTTTTAGGAAGTCAAATACCTCATCCAGACACCTCAAACCCTCATAGTCTGGGCCCAACCTAACTTTTCACATTTATCTTCCAGTAGTTTTCTGCATATACCTGTGCCTCAAGTTTTACTCTGTCCTCAGCTTTGATCATGTCATCCCTCCTGCCTGAGATGCCCTCTCCTCTGTTGAAAGCCACACATTCTTCCAGGGCCTGACTCCAAGGCAACCCACATCACGAACCTCTGATGCCCTTAACCGCCCAGCAGCCATGCTCCTTCACGCCTGTCAATCCCCAGAGCTGTGCTCCCTCTTTACGTACTTAACGCTTCCAGCCACACCGTGTGGAGCTCCTCTACACCAGGCTCCATCTCTGGAGGGTGAGCACGCGCTCCACTACCATCTGTCATAGATGAACGAATGCAACACTCAGAAAGCGGTGCGGGAAACCAAAAACTGGCTCTGAAGGGCCTGGTGCTGTCACCATATTCTCTCTGAGTGACCTTCCCACAGAGCTGGCTTGGAGAGCCACCAAGGAGAAGTCATTCTTTAGGGTCAGAGAGCTTGCTGCTCAGGATGTCTTCCTCTCCTCTGTCCTGATTCACTCTCGAGTATTTTCACCAGATCTATCTGGGTCTTTCTCCCACCGTGCCATCACAGGCTAAAATAACCCAAAGCCATCATATTTGTCTTTTCCAATTCAACTCCCAGGACACCCCTCTGCCTTCTACCTTTGTAATGGCCCAGAGACACTCACGTTCAGGGATGGAAGCATTGTGCAGGTTGTTCCCTGAAAGCCGGGCCTGGAAGGCAGAACTGAAGAAACCGTCACCAGGGCCACTGTGGGGAGAGGAAGAGCAGAAGAGAGTCAAGTTAAAGGAGTGAAAGTGTGATTTCCCAGGAGCGCTGGGAAGAGCTCTGCTCAGATAGTTTAAGGAAAGTAGAATCAGATCATGGGACAGAGGTGGGTGATGGAGTTGGAGAAACTGGGGTCCAAATCCCAACTCAGCCACTTACTAGCTGTGCGACCTTGGGCAAGATAACCTTGTTTAGCCTTAGTTCCTCATTTATAAACTAGAGATTTAAAGAAACCAAGAGAAGTCACAAGTGATTCTGATTAAATGAGATAATGTGTACAAAATGCGGAACACAGTTCCTGATTCTCAGTAGCTACTCATTAAGTGGGAGCTGTTGCCGCCGGAGTTACTGTTATTGTTACACTCACTCCTACTGCACATCTTATTGTGGCCTATCCTTGCTAAGTACAGGGGACTCTGTTTAGAGATAAGGGACAATTTGGCTATAACGAAAATAGCTTCTTCCTTCAGGTTAGGGTGCTGGCCTTTCTGAGCCCTTAGCATATACCCAAAGGATAGAACATAGCAGGAAAGAAACAGGAAAAAGCCCCTGGGGTCCCTCACCTATCATTTTAACCACAGACCCAGAAAATCATCCGACCCCTCCACAGGCTTAGGAGCAAAAGGAAAACCAGAAGCAAGATGCTGCAAAGGCTCTGTCTGTACCTTTTACTCAGCACCATGAAGTGAACAGCAAAGGTGGCTGTATAGAGAGCCAGGGGCAGCACTATGAGGCACAGGACACGAGCAGTCAGGTGTTTTCCCACAGTCACCTGCAAACAGAGGCCAGCGTGGGGTGCTAGGCATGTGAGACCTCATTATTCCTTAGGCACTATGCATGCATTATATATAGCTTTTAATATATCAGTCATAATCATAAAAAATGGCCAAGAGGAGAGAGAAGAATATGTGGAAACCCTAAGCCTTTCTGTAACACCCACCACCCAAGCACTACACAAGATAAACATGGGCCAGCCCTCTGCTACCTCTCCAGGCTCTACACCCAAAACCCCAGGATGTTACTGTGCCAAGGACAAGGCACCTGCATCTGCAACACAGTTGCTCACCAGTCCGCTCCATGTTCCAGGTACACTAACCTCCTTGAACTTTCCCAGTGCTTCCTCTACTGTCCCAGCCCAACCCATCACATGGCTAATGGCTCCTTATCTTAACTTCGCGGCTTCCTTCCAGAGGCCTTCCTGGATTGCCTGGGACTGGCCGAGTGCCCTTTTCTGTGCTCTCCCAGCACTCCTGGCTGACTGTAACTGCCTGCTTCCTTATTTCTCTCTCTCCATTGACCACAGAGGGTGGGGACCATATTATATTCATCTGTATATTCCAGCACCTCACACACAGTGGCTGGATGATCTTTACACATTTTCTGAATAAATGAATGAATGAATGAATAAACTTGTTAGGAGCTGGTTTGGAGGTGATGGAGCAGCACCACAGCAGAGTGATGGCCTGGGGCCAACCTAACCTGGTTGTGACTCCTAGATACACCTCTCACTCCCCGATGGCCTCGGGGAAGTCATTACCTCTGTAGGTTTTGATTTCCTCATTTGAAAATCAGGGTAATAACTCCCTACCTCATAGGACTATTATGAGGGGTAAATGAGATAATGAAGGTAAAGCGTTTCGCATAGTGCCTGGCATAGAATCAGCCCTTAATAAATAATAAACTGTAAAGGCCCTTACTGGCCTCCAAATATGGAGACCGTGGGTCAGGAAATGAAAATTGTGAGTTCAGACCGGGCTCGGTGGCTCATGCCTGTAATCCCCGCACTTTGGGAGGCCAAGGCGGGCGGATCACTTGAGGTCAGGGGTTTGAGAACAATCTGGCCAACATGGTAGAACCGCATCTCTACTAAAACTACAAAAATTAGCTGGGCATGGTGGTATGTGCCTGTAATCCCAGCTACTTGGGAGGCTGAGGCAAAAGAATCACTCGTACCCAGGAGGCGGAAGTTGCAGTGAGCCAAGATCGGCCCACTGCACTCCAGCCTGGGTAACAGAGTGAAACTCTATCTCAAAAAAAAAAAAAAGACAGACATTATAAAACAAATGCAAAAAGAGACTTCCAAGAATGTTAATCTATCCTCTCCCTTGAACCCTATCCAGTCCTCAGCCGGGCCCACTCCCTGATGTCCTGCTGTCTGCGGAGGTTGGGGGGTCCAGCCCACCTGGGACCCAGAACACAGCCACTCTGCCACCTGCAGTAGAGACAGAGAAGGCCACCAGCTCCTACTCAGCAACATCAGGGAGCAAAAACATTTCCACAGCAAACCCTTGGGTGCTCACCAATGAAAGACTGAGGTCTCCGAACAGGTACCAAAGGTCTGCAATGGTGTTCAGCCCCACTTGAAGGATGATAAAGAGGCCAACAAACTTGACCCCTAAAGCACCAGCAAGACTAACGCCAGTCAGGCTGAGCCAGAACCACCAGGGGGCAGAGAAGGGCCTGAAAATCAACAAGACGGAGTTCAATTTGGCAGCTGGAACCAAAGCCAAACGCAAGCGCAGCAGGGGACAGGGCAGTTCTCAGACTTGGAGCGGCTGTGCTGTGCCCTGTCTTGGGGGCTCTTAGCCTCAAGGGACCATGGCGTGGCTCCATGGAGGAGGCGGCCTGTGAAACCCCTGGAACGGCAGGAAAAGCACTGTCTGAGGGCGCAGGGTATTCTTCAGGGGAGAGTGTCCATAGTGCTCCTGGCTAAGTACAGGGCTCAGGGTAAGTGGGGGCTCCTTCTTCACAAGTGACCAGTCAGGCAGGAGTAAAAGGAGAATCCTTAGGTGCCCCTGGACTCAGGCAGCCCTCTCCTTTGTGTCACCTCTGCCCTTGTCGAAGGCAGCATTTACCGAGTGCTTACTATGTATGCGTCACGCATCATTCCAAGTACGATGCATATATTAACTCTTCTAGCCGTCACTACAGCACACAGAGGATCCTGTCACTAGGTCCTCTTTTTGCACAGGAGGAAATCAAGATACAGAGAGGTGGAGTAATACAGCTAGCAGGCAGTGGGGCACAGTTTTAACCCAGGCAATTGGGTCAATGTTAGTGCTCTTAACCATTTTGCTATTCGTATAGCACCTAGTACTCTACACTATGATTCTCTGGCTCTCTGGCTGCCTCCTCTGCCAGAGTGAATATTCCTTAACAGCCAAGCCCAACAGAGCTCAGTACCTCCAGCTCCCCGCATAGTACCTGGTACACAGTATGTACTCAAGAAATGGTAGATGGAAGTGGATGTGGCATAAGCACAACAACCAAAGCCAGAGTGGGCTGAGAGTCACTGATCAGGTTTGATTAGCACAATGGAGCTTAATGAGCCTGGCTGTGCAAAGTTAACTTCCAGAAAAGCCTACGAGGGGCCAACTCTTCTGGTTTGAATAGAATGAATGACTTATTCTACTTTCTCAGAAGTAGAAGGATGATCTGGAAAAGACTATTCTGCAAGTAGACCGGACCCTCCAAGTCAGCTTTAGAACTGACCAGGACCTGGAAGGATCCTCTTGGCTGGTATGGACCATTCAAGCCAACCTTTACATATGCTATTCCCATCATTAGGTCAGGACTGGATGCAACCACTGACGAAAGGGAGATAGTTTCCAGGCAGCATCTACCCTGGTGCCCTCCCTTCTAGGACAGAGTATGTGAAGGACAGCCCTGTCCCGGGATTTCCTAACCAGCACTGGTTACAAGAGGTGGGTGGGGAAAGTATTAGGACCCCCCATGATATCCCAAAACCCCTACCCAATTGTACTCCATTGTAAACATGATAATAATAATACGCTTGAAAAAGACAACTGACATTTTCTCGGTCTTGAATATGGCAAAAATAAAATCACCTGTAGAAAACTTTTTAAAATCTATTTTTATGATCTAAAATGGACAATCTAAGTTAAAAAAACAAACAAAAAGTATGCTTGCCTTAAAATCAGCTTCAAGACAAGTCTCTGGGCACCCGCCCTGGCCCTGGCCATTACAGAAATTTTGGAGTTGCCACAGCTTCCAACCCTCCCCTCCCGGGGATGGAGTTTCTGACCTGTCGGCGCAAGAGTTGTACTTGACCATGCTCAGCATGGCAGCCATGATGAAGAACATCAGGATGGGGTCAAGGAGGATGTACTGGGACAGAGTGAGGCATCCCGTGTCTGAAAAACATGAGCTCGCTGGTGAAAAAGCGAGGTAAGAGAAGGGCCCCCTGAAAACCAAGCACCCCAGTAGTAGGAAACAGTCCCTCTTGCCACTTAATTGAGTGTAAGCACTTGTGCAGTCAGGACTAGAGTCAACACTGAGTCATCAGGGAGGTAGAAGGCCACAGCTCTGGGAGACATCAAAGCCCAATGACAAGAAGCAGTAACTCACACTGCCTCTAGGCCCTCAACCCAAGAGAGGATCATGTCATTCGCTCCCTCAGACCAGCCCTGAGACAAGGTGTCATCCTCATTTCCACCATCAAAAAGGGAGTCCTACCACTCTGCTCATGTAACCGCAAACTATCTACACCTATGATAGAATCTTATCATTTTACATGAAGTCTCTCTTGGGGGTCGATTCTCCAGACAGATGGCAGAGTGATGTTTTTTAATTTAAATCCTTAAATCTCATTATGTCATGCCCCTGCTTAAACCCTCCAATGTCTTCCAACCTCACTCAAAGTAAAAAGTTCTCATGACAACTGCCAGAGTCTGTGCGGTCTCCCTACCCATCTAACCTCATCTCCCAACACCCTCTGCCTCACTCACTCTGCCCTTTCCACGCCAGCCTTCTTACTGTGATTTGAACCCACAGAGGTCCACACCAGAACTACAGTACATGCACTTCCCTCTGCCTGAATGCTCTTCCCTCAGATCCCTGCAGGGCCTGATCCTTTGTCTCACTCAGGTCTCTGCTCAAAGCTCCCCTCTCAGAAGCTCTTTCCTGACTATCCTGTCTAAAATAGTACTGATCTCCATTATTCCATCCCTTACACTGCTTTATTTTCTACACTGCACTTGTGGCTTAGGACATCACATGACAGACTTATTCATTTACTTGTTTATTTACTGTCTGCCCCACGATGAGGTAAGCTCAATGAGACCAGAGTGACTCATCAGTGTATCCTCTCAGACTAAGAAAAGTGGCCGGGAGCTGGGTAGGTGCTTGAGAAATAACTATTGAATGAAAAGTACATAAATGACTAAATGAATGAATAACTGAAGATGGAAATTCAAGATACAAGGAAAAAGCCACCAGTCCTCTATAGAGAAAGCCAATAATCTTGCAATCTATCTGTCAAAACAAAGCAACATATCTGTCAAAGCAAACCCCTAAAGTACCCCATTTAAATTGGTCTAGACTTCTTTAAATGTTAAGCTCCACAAGGTCATGAATTCACTTTCATAGGAACAAAGCTAGCAACAGGATCAACTTCTACGATGAACTCTCATTTATCCATGTGAAGATTATTATCCAAGTTCCCATTTTGCTATCTCTTGCCACCCAGCTACTTCTGCATTTACCTTTATATTCAGTTGAAATTAGTTAAGGAATGCAAACTAATCTTAACTTAAGAGAAGCAAAATTAGAATTATAAGCTTCCTTCAAAAACACACATACTCACATACAAATCTATCTTATTACCCATTCCAAACTCAACCGTGAATAACGTGGAGGTAAATCTATTCCTTGGGATTACCCACGCCGATTCTCCCCTCCAATAATATAAAGGCTTGTTATATATAACTATTGATATACATTAAGTATTACTAGTGAATGAGATTTGTAGTACATTTTACCCAATCCTAAAATTAATTGAACTGGACCCACATATAGGGCCCTTGAATGTACTGATTTTCAGCTACATTCACGGAGTGGCAGCCCATTTCCCAAAAGCCATGGTATGGCTAAGACAACTTACCAAAGGTGAGGAGGGCAGCTGTGAGCAGTGCTGCCGAGAGGGACTTGGACAGATCCAGTACAGTGAGGTAGGCAAAGGGGACCAGCCAGGAGCCAAGGAATGCACAGAACTGTGGGAGGAATAGAGAAGCTGTCAAATAACAAGCTGAGCTAGGTCAGCGACCTACTGGACTCAGTACAACCTAACATTTAAGACAGGGGACCTGATGAAGGCATGACTTTGGTGACCTAAAGTCACCTAGGATATCTATAACTAAGAAAAGAGTATTGTAATAGTGAAGAGCCAAATCAAGCAATATATATGTTCCCATTAAGCAGCAACTTGTGCACTGACATGAAATCAGCAAGTTCAGCCAGGAAGGTGTGGGTAGGAGACAGGGAGAAAAGCAACCAAGTAGCTACACACCAGGAATAGAGAGAAGGGAAGAAAATGAGTGTTATTAACACACAGATAGTAATTGATAGCCATTAGCTTCTATTACACAACTGTAGGTACAAGTTGAGAAAGACCCCTCTGAAGGTATTTCAGAGAATTTTAAGGAACCCCTAGTTCTTTTCTTCATTTACACCAGAAACCAGTCTTTAATCTACACAATGTATGTATTTTGATTTTGGGAAAAGGGATTGCTTGATACTTCAGTAGCTGGATACCTGTTTGGTTTTTTGTTTTTTTAAGCTGCTGGCCCTCTTCCATCCCCTACCTGTCCATCAAAATAAACAGACAAGCCAGAAGAATGGGAAATTCTCACGTTTGGTTGTCACATCCAATTATGTATGGTATGTGGTGTTCAAAAGTTATTAGGAAGACACAGAATCACTTAAGAACAAGAACTTGAGGGTAGGATATACTCCTTGTTTAATATACCACGATATAGCCATGCAAATCATCTAACGATGAGGCCAAATAAGCACACAGCCATTTATTTAAATGCTGTGAAATCCTCAAGGAAAGGGGCTTGTAAATGCAAACTTCTCTGAGAGGTCCACACTGGAGGTCAGCTTCTGCTGGCTTCATTCAGCCACACGTTCAAGGTTCCCAAAGAGTTGGGTGTTAAGGCCCTGCCATGTTCCATCAAGGCTGGTGCTGTAAATCAGGACACAGAGGGACTGCAGCAGACATTTGGCCTCCCTTCAAATAAGGCTGGAAAACTCTTTCTGTGTGCCTGAAACCTTCATGGGGAAAGACACAGGAACATGGTGACAGGGTGTGGGGATGCCAAAATCTTCAGAAAAGGCTCTGAGATGTAGGCAACACTCCAGCAGCTGTGGCTGTGAGGGGAGGAGCAGGCAGCGTGCCAGTGCATGGAGGCACTGCTGGGGCTGCAGGAGACTCCTGATTGCCCGGGTTCCAGGCTGTTCTCCAACCTGAGGTCTGACAGTATACCGGGGCAGGGCAGCAGGTGACAATGCGTGCCTGCTTCTATCTATGTCATCTCTGTATTATTTGCAGCCTCCTCTTCCCTTCTTCCTCACCTCAGTTCTGAGTATCTACACCACAGGGGAGGGTCTGATCATCCTCCCCTCTCCTCACCACCCAAAGTCCCTTTATTTGCACCTGCCACCACGCCAGGGCTGCTAACTATAACATTTCTGGTTTAGTGTGGCCCCAGGGTTCAGTCAGTCCATTTCAAGTCAGGAAGCCTTACTCCTCTCATTCCCATGTAGCTGTGATGCTCATATTTATCCCCAGGCTTCTGGAACAAAAAGGTACCATCATATCCACTCAGGTAGCCAGCAAGACCTATCAGCATCTGAGGAGAGAAGAACAAACAAAAAGATGAGAAGCCTTTGGGAGAAGATTCCTCTGTCCTCTGAACTTCCCTCCAGCTGCACCCACAGACTTTGGGTTCCCTTGACAACTGTCCATAGAAAATGTTGCCAATGCAACATTTTCTCCTGCAGCTGCCACAGAGCAAAGAATCTTTTGTCTACAGAGCTCACTGCTTGAAACAAATCCTCTCTTGTATTATGGCCGAGGTCTAGGAACAGCACAACCTAAACACTCAGGAAGGAAAAAGAGCCCCACAATTTGAAGGGTAGAGTCAGTAAGGGGCTCTCTGATTCCGCTTTCCTTCAGATGGTATAAAATAAAACACGGCAGCTCTTGGACAGAGGCTGATTCCTGGGGAATTGGCCTTTTGAAAGGAAAGTGAGATTCCAAGTCACAGTGAGAGAGAAAAGAGACCAAGGAGCTACATACCAGGAATAGAGACAAGAGAAGAAAATCAGACAGAGGAATGCAAAGACAGATGCTTTGCCCAGAGGGGAAGAGAAAAACTGCCAAAGGCCAGAGGCTGGTTTCTCCCATTCCTAATATTCCAAAGGAGGGCATCCTTGGTACCTCCCAAGCCAGAACAAATCAATTAGAAACTGAGACTGTGAGTCATGAATCCTTCAAAACCTTTGACAAGATCGGCCGTGTCTTTTGTATATTTCCTTGGCCATCAACATTATAAAATTCTATTTTTCACACAAGCAATCAGAAGCAGCTGAAGTATAAAAACTGCTGGCAAATGCCAACCATCTGGGACAGCCCCAGGCTGCTCCAGCCTGACCCCCGAGCTCTGGCAGGCTGTGTTGGGGGAGGGAATACACTGGCTGTGTGGGGAAAGTCCCTCCCAGCCACACTTGTGGGACATGGATTTAGACTACTAACCAACCCACTTTTTTCTCTAAGTAGTTCTAAACAGAGCCAGTCTCTATAGCTCCAGGTCAAGGTATAGAAGCCAAAGTCTGGCAGTAAAAGACAACAAAGACTTGTTTTTAAAAAGGAAGGCAGGGACCCCAGGGTTCAGACAGGGTCATCCAAATAGCTAGATGAACTAAAGCTGCCAAGTGGCAATCAAATGGATCCCTCTTCCCACCTGGGATCTCGCAGGACAAGCTCGCCTGGTATTGGTCATACATTTCCAGACTGCTTGGCTGGTCTAGAGAGAAGAAATGTACAGATGCTTTGGATCTCAGTACCCTATATTCTAGTTCTCTGATCACGGACAATATTTAGTATCTCTGAGCTATAGGTAATAAAAACTTCCTCACAGGGGGCATGAGGATTAGAGGTGCTATTAAGTAAACACCTAACACTATACCAAGCACTTGGAAGACACTCAAAATTCAATTCTCTCTCAGTTCCCTTAAGGTTAAAAGTAGCCCCAAGTTAATTTCTTCTTTTTTTTTTTTTTTTTTTTTTGAGACAGAGTCTCGCTCTGTCACCCAGGCTGGAGTGCGGTGGCACAATCTCAGCTCACTGCAACCTCTGCCTCCCAGGTTCAAGCAATTCTCTGCCTCAGCCTCCCGCATAGCTGGGATTACAGGCATCTGCCACCACGCCCGGCTAATTTTTGTATTTTTAGTAGAGGCGGGGTTTCACCATCTTGGCCAGGCTGGTCTTGAACTCCTGACCTCATGATCCACCCGCCTCAGCCTCCCAAAGTGCTGGGATTATAGGCATGAGCCACCACGCCTGGCCCCAAGTTAATTTCTTAACTAAACAACTCTTTCAAATCAATAGAAAAAAAATGAATTACTAGAAAAAAATGACAAATTCATAGAAAACAAAATACAAATGGCTAACATATGAAAAAATGTTCAACCTAACTCATACAGTCATGCAAATGAAAACAGTGATATGTCATTTTTTACTCTCCAATTGACAAAGTTTTTTTGTTTTTTTTTTTTTTTTGAGATGAAGTGTTGCTCTTGTCACCCAGGCTAGAGTGCAATGGTGCGATCCCAGCTCACTGCAACCTCCGCCTCCTGGGTTCGTGTGATTCTCCTGCCTCAGCCTCCCAAGTAGCTAGGATTACAGGCACCTGCCACCACGCCCGGCTAATTTTTGTTTTTTTAGTAGAGACGGGGTTTCACCATGTTGGCCAGGCTGGTCTCGAACTCCTGACCTCAGGTGATCCGCCCGCCTCGGCTTCCCAATGTGCTGGGATTACAGGCGTGAGCCACCGCGCCCGGCCAACAAAGTTTTTAAAGTATGATCGTACCAGTGCTGGCAATGATGTGGGGAAGAAAGCACTGTCATACACTGTTGGTGGGAGTATATATGATTACAACATCTTTGCAGGAAAACTTAGCAATATCTAACTCAATTTTAAATGTGCATATTCTTCGATTTTTTAGCTTGGCTGCTGGGAATTTTTCATATATACCTGCGCAACTATACAACGATATATGTACAAGGATGTTCACTGCAATATCTTTTGTAATGACTAAAAACTGGAAATAACATACATGCTGCCCACCAACTGAAGAGGGATAAATACTTACGGCACATCTACATAATAGAATGACACACGGCCATTAAACAGAATGAAGCGCATCTTCATGTGCTAATGTGGAAAGAAGATATATCATGTTTCAAACACAAGCTGCTGAACAACTGTAGACTTATCCCATTTGAGTTTTTAAAAAGAATTGTGTGTATATATAATGTGTTGTTCATGTGTACATATATAAAAACATACACGCTTGTATTTGTATAAAAGAATTCCTAGAGGAATGTAAGAAACTATTGACAAAGATGACCGTGGTTACCTCTGCGGACTAGAAATGTGGTGGATGAGGCTTCTGACCCTGTACTTCCTTCTGTCTACTACGTGCAGGCTTTTTTATGTTTTAAGTTCCTGTCTTATGTTTTAAGTTCCTGTTTAAGTTCCAGGTGCCCAGGGTTGGTAGGCAATGTGAAGTGGCAGGTCTTGGCCTCAGTAGCAAAGGAGAAAACTTCCTGCTTGCTACTTGGAGGGGTTTTGATTCCTTGACTGGCTTGGCCTCAGAACCTGCAGAAGCTACTGCACCCTCTCACAGGTTTCCAGTTTGCTCATCACTCTCTTTCAACCAGACAGAACACAGAACCATCAGGAGCTAAATTAGGGGTGCAGATGGGCCGCATTCCCTGAGGGCAGCCTTAGAAGCCTCACACTTCTCCCTTCACACGGGCAACCAGATGTGAGGAAGGCAAGGCTTTGATATAATATTATTATATTTATTTATTTATTTATTTTTGAGATGGAGTCTTGCTCAGTCGCCCAGGCTGGAGTGCAGTGGCACGATCTCAGCTCACTGCAACCTCTACCTCCCAGGTTCAAGCTGTTCTCCTGTCTCAGCCTCCCAAATAGCTGAGACTACAGACGTGTGCCACCATGCCCAGCTAATTTTTGTATTTTTACGTGGAGTTTCACCACGTTGGCCAGGCTGGGCTCGAACTCCTGACCTCAGGTGATCTGCCCACCTCAGCCTCCCAAAGTGCTGGGATTACAGGCATGAGCCACCACGCCTGGCCTAAGGCTTAGGTAAATTAAACAAATCAGCCAGTCCTGTGCACATGTCCACAGTGCGCTGAGAACCAGGAAAACTCCAAAAAAGAACGGGCAGTCCCCACAGAAAGACTGGGCTGGGTTTCCTATGAAAAATCTTCATCAGAAATCTGGTTCCCAGGCGAGCTCCATGCAAATACTCAACATGTTCTGTTGTTTAATTCTATGGTAGTAACAGATGTAGTCTGAGGAGTGAGCCAAGGCAAGCTTGTGAGGCACTGTGGTGTCATGATTAAGAGAGAAGGCTCTATGCCAGCCTGACCCTTGAATCTGCCACTTACTAGCTTGGTTCCCTATGACGAACTACTTATCTTCCTTCAGTTCCCCATCTGTGTAATGGGGATGAAACAATACCTACTTTATAAGGTTGTTCTGAGGCTTACATGAGATAATGCCTCTAAGGTGACTAGAACAGAATAAATGTTTTTAATTGTTCTTGTTATTGTTGTTATAGTATAAAAGAGATAGGAAGAGGCATAATATGTTCTACACTTTTCTTGGGCTCAGAGCCAATTTTGAAATAGGCTACCTGTTCTACCTCGCTTCCCATCCCTCCACGCTGTAGGGCCCCCTGCTCTCATGCTTCCTTAAGCCCAACCATAGGTGATCTTTGTGATCTTTGATAAAAGATTACACTCCCTGCCTCCTCCTGCCTTCCCTGCTCCTGCCTTTATCCCCCAAGTACTACCTGCTCCAAGATCCCTCCCCACTTAATCACAGGAAAATTCCTGTCCCCTTGGTGCCCAAGATCTAAGTCTCCAGTTAGGAAGAAAGCCTTGAGTGAATTCCAGGGCTAATCCGAGAGCCTTCTCAGAGGTTTTTGTTTTTAAAAGACTAAAATGGGCCAGGTGCGGTGGCTTGCCTGTAATCCCAACACTTTGGGAGGCCAAGGCGGGTGGACCACCTGAGGTTGGGAGTTCAAGACCAGCCTGGCCAACATGGTGAAACCCCGTCTCTACTGAAAATACAAAAATTAGCCAGCGTGGTGGCGGGCGCCTGTAATCCCAGCTACTTGGGAGGCTGAAGCAAGAGAATCACTTAAACTTGGGAAGCAGAAGTTGCAGTGAGCCAAGATTGTACCATTGCAGTCCAGCCTGGGTGGCAAGAGTGAAACTCTGTCTCAAAAACAAACAAACAAAAAAAGAGTAAAGTGAATTCTAATTGGTTGAATTTCTAATGGTAAAACATGTGAGAGAAACAGATCAAACCATGTGTATGCTGGGCATGGGAAGGGAGAAAGAAGTCAGCCCCATATGGATATCAGCCTCGTAAGCTATTTCTGCTTCATGCAATGTATTCCTATTTCTTTTTTCTTTTTTAAAATTCAGACAAATTCACATAACATAACATCCACCATTTTAAAGTGTGCAATGGGTGGTTTTAAGTATATTCACAAGATTGTGCAATCATCACCACTACCTAATTCTGTAACATGTCATCACCCCATAAAGAATCCCCACACCCATTTGCAGTCACTGCCTAATCCTCCCTGCCCTGAGATCCTGGCAACCACTAATCTACTTTGTGTCTCTGCGGATTTGTCAGTTCTAGATATTTCATATAAGTGGAATCACAGGGTATGTAACCTTTTGTGTCTGGCTTCTTCCATTTAGCATGTTTTCCAGGTTCATCCATGTTGTAGCATGTATCAGAACCTCATCCCTTTTTATGACCAAATATTATTCCACCATATGGCTGTGCCACACTTTGTTCATCCCTCCCTCAGCTGATGGGCCCTCTTTCCATTTCTGAGCCCAGAGGACCCTTAAAAAACACCAGAGATTTTCCATGAAAGTAGCTGGTCTGAAATGTCAGAAAATTCTTTCTACAAGTCCCAAATTCTTTCTAGAAGCCCCAAATCCAAAATCAAGATGTGGCTCCAGCCCTTAGGAACAATCCTCTGGGACCAGAGAGCTGCTATTCACCACACTGCTCACCTTTCCCAGGGGCGGGTGCACATCAAAGAAAAATGTACGGTTGATATAGTAACTTCCCATTTTTCCAAAGTGAGTCTCATCCCAACTAAAGGAAACACAGAAAGAGAAACAAGAATTTTAAAATTATCATAAAATCCAAATGGCCTTCATAAAGCATGGTTAAAATTAAAGGCTATGCATTTCAAACAATTAATGCAAAAGTCTGGATTTAAAAAAAAAATATTTTGACACAAGTGATTTTAGGAAGAAAGACATCAAGCTGGCCACTGGTCTTCATTTAGATAGATGAGAAAGGCGAGCAAATATTCACTAGCCAGTTACCAATTGAGTTAAATATACATATACTTACTCTGTATCTTGAGTTTCTATTTATTTTAAAAGGACAAGATGTTTTCTCATAATATGGAAAGGTTTGTAGTAAGAGTTTTCTTCTGGCCGGGTACGGTGGCTCACACCTGTAATCCCAGCACTTTGGGAGGCCGAGGCAGGCGGATCACGAAGTCAGGAGATGGAGACCATCCTGGCTAACATGGTAAAACCCTGTCTCTACTAAAAATACAAAAAATTAGCCAGGCATGGTGGCACGTGCCTGTAATCCCAGCTACTAGGGAGGCTGAGGCGTGAACCCGGGAGGCAGAGCTTGCAGTGAGCCGAGATCGCGCCACTGCACTCCAGCCTAGGCGACAGAGTGAGACTCCGTCTCAAAAAAAAAAAAAGTTTTCTTCCTATCTTCAAGTAGCTAGTGTAAACAAAAATTTAAATTAAAAAAAGTTTCTTCCAAGTCTGCTAACTTCTGAGACAACATTTGCTATTAGAAGGTCCATTACGACGCTGTTGGGCTGCTGGTCAGAGTTGAGTCTATAAACCATGAGTGTCACAGGAGTCTCATTTTGCTCAGCCACCCTGTGACAAGTAAGCTGCTAACTGTGATCTGGCTGATCTTATACTAACTAGTATATAAAAGTTGAAGGCTTTCTTACTAAATTAAGACCACATCTAAAACCTATCCTCATTGCTTAAGTTATTTTGCAAGTAAATAAGTGATTTGAATAAACAGGCTTTCAAACACAATGCAAAGTCCTCTTTTATACAACCACATACACCTTTCTACACCATACATGAGGGCTTTGGGAACGCAGCCAAGTCATCCAGCAGAGCCTGGCCTTTTCTATTTGTAATTTTCTCCCTGTAGCTCAAAAGAAGGGTTACTTTCTAGTAGTCATCAATCCCCAGGTCATGAGCAGTCATTATTGACCTACTACATAAGGGGAAAACATGCTTTACCTAAGAATCTAAGGTTCTTTTTATATCTTACTTGGTGGGTCCAAGATAGGCAAAAGAATAGGTCTATTTCAGCATCTGCTAAACACCTTGACAGGCAGTGAGGACATTGGCATGGTGAGGTCGAAGACAGAAATAACTTCAAAGCAGGGTAATGAAACTGATTTGCAGAAAGAGAGATCCAGTCCCAGCTCCACCACTAATTAATGGCACAACCCGCCAAAATCACTTATTCTCTCTAGTCCTCTTATCTCATCTACAAAATGAAGACAATAATATTATCTGCCCTGCCCACCTCCCAGGGAGGCCTTAGGGCTCAACTCAGATAACACATGTGAAAGAATTCTGTAGATTATAAAGTACCATCCCTGCTGGGCCCTCCTTAAACTGTCCTGACATTTGTGGTTAGTTTTTAAATCTGTTTGGGAACATACTAACAAAAGGATTCCAGTTTTTTTGTTTTGTTTTGTTTTGTTTTGTTTTTGCTTGTTTTTTGAGACAGAGTTTCACTCTTGTTGCCCAGGCTGGAGTACATGGACACAATCTTGGCTCACTGCACTTTTCACCTCCCGGGTTCAAGCGATTCTCCTGCCTCAGCCTTCCAAGTAGCTAGGACTACAGGCGGCCGCCACCACACCTGGCTAATTTTTGTATTTTTAGTAGAGATGGGGTTTCACCATGTTGGCCAGGCTGGTCTCGAAACTCCAAACCTCAGGTGATCCACCTGCCTCAGCCCCCCAAAGTGCTGGGGTTATAGGTGTGAACCACCGCACCCAGCCTGGGCTCCAGATTTTTACTTCAAAAGTTTCCCAAGTAAAACCAGTTGTAACATTCATATTTCCTCCTGGCTTTTATTGCTTGTGTTAGGAGAGACAGTCCTCCGTGGCTCTCTTGTGCTCCTCCAGGCCTTGCAAGGTATGCCAAGAATGCTGTTTGCAGTAAACAACCTTGAGGGAAGTTAGTGTCTCCCTCTGAGACAGAGGGCTGTCTTGTTTATTGCTTGCCATAAAACAGCAGATTCCCTAAGCTTAATATTACTCAGCTGTGATGCAAGCTACTGCATGTGCAAGCATTCATCCAGTCCCTCAGCACCACGTGGGACTTAGGGGCAAAGGAAACTGATGCCAACATGCTGATGCACATCCCACTTGCTGTGCCATGAGAAATAAAGTCCTCTGTCTCTGACCCAAGACTTTGTCTTCTGTCAGCATGCAAAAAACAGTGACAGGCTAACTTATTAGCTAATAAGTAGGCTAAGATAAAATCACAGCCCCTGACAGTGTGGAGACAAGCATAGGATGAGGAGAGACATAGTCTTTGGTAAGAGAAAGAATGAGGGCCTCCATGGGCAGGCAATGGGGTAGTGAGAGTCCCCCACTGTCCCACTATTAGAGAGGCTGATGGAAAGAGGTAGGATTGAAACAAGCCACTGAATGTCACCCTGGTTACTGCCCTGTCCTCTGGGCAAAAGGAGGAAGAGGAGTGATCATGACAATGGCAGCAAGCCCAGCAGCCCCTGCCAAAAGGCAATATGGATATGGCTGCTCAATCAACAAGTCTCCAACGGTGCGGCAATAGGACCCTGCTATATAAGATAGAACTTTGAGTAAAATGAAACACTGAAAGATCCTTGGGGGAGCTGTGTACTCAAGCCAAAAGTAAATATAAATATGACTTGCTTTGTGGCTCGGAGCCACTCTCTCCCTTTATGTCCCAGGATCCCTCCCACTCTACCACAACCTCAGCTGCATTAAAGACTGAGATGATTAAAGGTTGGGCTGAGGTTTCCATGTCCCTAAAGGGGACTGAAGGTCATACACACCCATCCTAGTATGCTGGAGAGCCCCAGGGAGGAGAGGGGCAAACTCAGGGCTCTGCTGGATATGAGGTCCCACATCTCCACCCTACCATGTCTCATGGGGGGAAGGATGTACTACACACAGAGGTTACTGCAGACACTCAGGACTGCAGGGACAGCCATAGCAGTGCGCACAAGGACTAAAGGGAAAAGGGCCCCTAACCCTGAGGGAGCGACACTGGGGAGGTCGTGATGCAAGCCTAGTGAAGAGCTAAAGGAGCAGAAAAAGCTTCTCCCCACTCCCTGCAGCCAGCACCGCCACACTCTCCGACTGGGAAATGGCAAAATCTCTGGCTGGCTGTCACCATAGCCCCTGATGCAGGCCTTCTAGACGCATTAGTTCGAGGGGAAAAAGTGTCCAGATTAAACTGGTAATGTTTGAGCCACGCTCCCTGTAGGGAAGGGAAGTTAAAGTGACATTCCAGGCAGAGCTCTTTGGGCCTCTTCAATGTACTATTCCTGTGGCTTCCAGTGCTGAATGTATAGCTGATACTGATCCCATAAGTGTCGAAGAGGATTATCCTGGGCAAGGGCTGCTGTGTGTAGACAGGTGATCCTGTCCTCTCCTGGTGGTCCAGAAGAAAAAAATCTACATCCCTGGAAGGGAAAGGAAATAAATCACAGGCTTAAAAACTTCGTGGCGGCTGGGTGCAGTGGCTCATGCCTGTAATCCCAACCCTTTGGGAGGCCGAGGCGGGCGGATCACCTGAGGTCAGGAGTTTGAGACCAGCCTGGCCAACATGGTGAAACCCTGTCTCTACTAAAAATACAAAAAGGTAGCCAGGCGTGATAGGGGCGCCTGTAATCCCAGCTACTCGGGAGGCTAAGGCAGAGAATTGCTTGAAGCCAGGAGGCAGAGGTTGCAGTGAGCTGAAATTGCGCCACTGCACTCCAGCCTGGGCGACAGAGCGAGAATCTCAAAAAACAAAAACAAACAAACAAAAAACAACTTTGTGGCTGCTGGAGTACTGAGAGCCATGCACCAGAATCACAGTGCCACCTGCTGGACATAGGTACCAAGCACACCCTTTTTAAAAGGACAGCTATTAACTCCTTAGTTAACTACTCAACACTTTGAAATTGATTGCCAGACCCATAAAGGCCTCAGGACTCCCTGGCCTAGTATTCCCACTTTGGGGTGGGTCAATGGGAATCTACTGATAACAAGGGAAGGGTTTAACAAGCCTCACTGATCCTATGGAAATAGTACATTCAAGAGTACAGCTGGTAATCCCAGCTATTCAGGAGGCTGAGGCAGGAGGATGGCTTGAGGTCAGGAGTTCAAGACCAGCCTTGGCAGGATAGTGAGAACTCAGCTCTTAAAAAATCTGTTTTAATTAGCTGGACATGGTGGCACGTGCCTGTAGTGCCAGCTACTCAGGAGGCTGAGACAGGAGGAGCCCAGGAGTTTGAGGATGCAGTGAGCTATGATTGTACCACTCCACTCCAGACTGGGCAACAGAGTCAGATCTCATCTCTAAAAAAAAAAAAAAAAAAAAAAAAGAGTATAGCTAGCCTGGCCCTAGAGGCATCTTGGTTTTACGTGAAGAAGTGGCAGCTCCCACTCTGGGAGAAACAACCTTCTCTGCTACCTGAAGCCGAGCTGCTGTTCAGTAGGGCCCTTGATTCACAGGGGTTCCTGTAAATGCTTAGGCCTGGCTCACCAATGATTAGGCTGAGTTAAAAGCTGATGTTGCCCACCAAGCAGCAGCAGGCACTTAGCCCCAATGATAACTCTGGATGGCTGATGGCAGTAAGGATTGAAGCATTTGGTATGCCACTTGGAAGACTAAATACTGAGAGATGAAAGCTGAGAAGTGTGGAAACACATCATGGCTGCCTGCCAATAGGACAGACTGGATCACTCACGTAGGTGCCCACACTAAGGGCAGGTACTCTCGTAAGACTGACTGGAATCAAACTGCTGATCCAGCCTGCACCACCAAGACTGCTGCCATAGCCACCTGGATTCATGCAACCGGTGTGGAAACATCTACCATCATGGGCTAGGCACAACGTAAGGGACTACATGTTTCTGAGGCAGAAGCCACCACTGCGTGCCAGACTTGTGACTCCTGCCAAAAGTTGGCCTGCTTGTCTTGCAGTAAAGGAAGCCACATTGCAAGGGGCACTGACCACACCTGCTCCTGGGAGATTGACATTAGGACTTTGTTCCCTTCTCTAGGCTCTCATCAGTACCTTGCTACTGCTGATACTTTTTCAGTTTACAGTGCTGATGTTGCTTTTCCAGTCCAATTATCTGACTCTGTGTATACCACTGTGGCCCTTGAAACTAAACTGCCAGGTTTTCTGCTTTCCAAACCATCTACAGTCTGACACTGGCATATCTTTTTGTCGCAATGGCCACCCAACAGTGTCAACAGTCAATAGCCAAGGTATTCGATGGACCTCCCACACTCCCTACCATCCACAGGCATGACATTGTCAAGTACTGAACAGTTCCCTCAAAGATCAACTCAAAAAGATTTTTGATTCTATGTTTTTAACCTCCTCCTGGTCTGCAAACCTTACTGAAGCAGTTTGGTCACCTAAGGCAGCCATTCTCAGAAATGGGTCATCTCCTTTTGCCTACCAACTGGGTAATGATCAGGAAAAAGGGGTGGAGGGTTATATAAACCTATTTTGAAAATGTGAGATTCTCCCCTGACCATTTCTGGCCATGATTCATCTTTCTTCCCCCTTACAGAAAGCCCAGATCAGCTGGGAGGAGGAGGCTATCTATGTAATTCAGACTTAATTCTAGTTCAGTCACTAGATTGTCTTGTTGGAATGGCCTGGTGCCAGAACATAAAGTTAATGATCATTTGGTTGGGTATAGTGCTTTTAAAGTCCCCCTACAGTGGCCCACATGTGTCAAGGTAGAAGACATAATGGGCCTCTGTCAATTTTCTAACAATTGGATATTAGAAGGCCTGCGTATTGGTAGGGGATAAATGGAGAAAAGGTGAAGTTATAGTTACTAGGGTAGGACACACTCATTATGTAGCAATGGAAGGAAAGAAACAATCCTGGCATCTGGGGAAGGAACACCACAGGACCCTGGAGATGTAAAGAGAAGGGAAACAATGTTCTCTTTGTCCCTATCCAGCACCAAAGCCTGGCAAACATTCACATGGTCCATCTAGGTCAAGCAGCAACTGTGGCTGGCAATCTGACCTGTGGCTGAGTTTGTCATCTCACTATGAAAACATAAAAACTTTATCTAGCAGGTCAGTATAAAAAAGAAAATAAAAAAAGAAAACAAAAACTCACATGGACACGGCCAGTCTTGAACTATTCCCACGTGCCTGATGACATCAACACCAACTCCCAAACGCAGACCTCCCTCATAGGTGTGCAAACACACAGATCAGCACCACCTTCTATCAATGCGGCTGATACAAATCACATGCTTCTCCTGAGATCCTAAGGGCCTTACTTAGGTTATGCCTTGTCTAGTGATTGAGGCTGCAACTGTTCAGTGACACTGCCCATGTGGTTTAAACCACTGTAATGGTAATCAAATTTGATGGTGATCCAAATAAAAATCTAACAAAAATCCTGGAGTGGCCTGCACTCCTCCAAGTAATATGTTAGTGTAAGGAAGAATGGGTCACAAAATATCTTTCCATTAATCATGGTAGTTAATTTTTTTTTTTTTTTTTTGAGACAGAGTCTGGCTTTGTCGCCTAGGCTGGAATGCAATGGTGCGATCTTAGCTCACTGCAACCTCTGCTTCCCAGGTTCAAGTGATTCTCCCACCTCAGCCTCCCGAGTAGCTGGGATTACAGGCACCCGCCATCATGCCCGGCTAAGTCTTGTATTTTCAGTTGAGACGGAGTTTCACCATGTTGGCCAGGTTGGTCTCGAACTCCTGACCTCAGGTGATCTGCCCGCCTCGGCCTCCCAAACTGCCGGGATTACAGGTGTGAGCCACTGCGCCCAGCCTGGTAATTACTTTCTTAAAAAAATTTTTACAAGGGTAGTGGGCTATTGTAATTACTGGTAATGACACCAAAGATCAGAGATCAATCTGAACCCCTGTGCACAGGTCACAGTGGTTAATAGACTGGTCTTAGACTGCAGCCCAGATGTCTGAAATAAGATTCCTCGGTGCCCCCAGGACTTATTCACAAGTGGCTGAATCCAGGACCCTGGAGGGCATGGTTGAGGTAAATACTGTAAGCTGGCCTTATTCTGCTGCTTAGAGTCCCATTGACAACAACCTTAATTAAATGCTGTAAGGGACAAACTGAAAAGATGTGAGTAGCCAGGGGAGTTGTATATTCATGTGAAAATCTGCTAGAAGCCAAGACCATAGAATCGAGGAGTGAGAGAGGCTGTCAGATTGCTCGTGCCTCTACACATCATTCTGGGTATACCAAGAATGCAAGGCCCTGACTGCATCTCACCTGGGCCATTTCTCATGGTTGTGTTTGCAGCAAGCAACTTTGAGAGAAGAGGCAGTGTCTCCCTCCAGGACAAAGAGGAGGTCTGCGTACTGCCTTCTATAAAACAGCAGATTTTCCAAGCTTGTCGTTCCTTCACTTGGATGCAACCCACTGCCTGTGCAGTCATCCATTTAAACCCATAGCGTCACCCTGTGGGACTTGGATGGCAAGGGAAACTGCTTCTAACATGCATCCTATTTCCTGTAATAAAGTCCTTTGTCTCTAACCCAGGAGTCTCATCTTCTGCCAGCAGTCACGACACAATAACAAGCTAATTTATTAATTTCTAAATAAAGCAACCCTGACAGTCTGTTTTCTTGCCTGCTTTTTGCTTAAAGAATTCCATTTCTGACACCCAGTATCTGGATAGTACAAGCTAAAACCTTTAAGAAAATAAATCTCTTCTCACAAGAAGAGTTCTGCCTCATAAAATCCTTTGGTCACCATACCTGAACACCCAAACTGTCCTTGCCCTATAGGATAAAGGTACACAGTTAGGTATTTTCTCCTCTGTTGATGCCTGAAAATCCTGCAGACATAGGAACTCAGGCCTTAGAAAATTCTGTACCCAAAAATTTGCAATTCTCTTTGGAAAGTTGAAAGCACCTTTAAAAGCCACAATTTGCAAGCCAGGTGATGCACTGTAGCATAACCTGGAAGACATGAGGGCTGCTTCCTCAGATACTAAGAATCCCACTGCCCCACCACCAGAGCAAAACGATCCCCCTCCCAGAGAATGCACCTCGCCAGAGGCCAACCCACCCGATACCTCAAGTTCCCCTCCACCGTGGCCCTCCTCCTATAGATCCCGCCCCCTCCGTACCCTCGGGCCAATCAGAGGGCGGCGTCCCGTCGCGGTTGCCATGGTGCCCGCCGAGTCCCTCCCATCACTCACCAGATGTGCGGCGGCTCGTCCAAGCGGTGGAAGCGGGTGGCGAAGGACAGCAGCGTCACCAAGGCCAGCAGGGCCCACCAGCCGACCGCCTCGAAGCGCCGTGAGCCCCAAGCAGGCCGTTTGGGGCTTCGCGCCACAGCCTCAGCGGCCACGTCCCGGCCTGCGGCCCTAGCAGCCTGGGGGCCACAGCGGCCCCTCCGGGGACGCAGCTCGGACTCTGCCAGGCCTCCGCCCGTGGCCGGCGGCATCTTCCCCCTCCTCTGGGTCGCCCTCCGGCCCGGAGGCACACTTTGTCTGACCAGCCGCCCCGCCAAGGAGTCACAAGAGGGCAGCTCGGGGTACCCCGGGAAATGCAACGCCCTTCACTGCAGCGGAGCGCGGGGCCCCGGGCTCGGGGCGGGGCGGGCAGCGTGGTCGCGGCCCGGGCCGCTAGGAGGCGGCAGGAGGCGCAGAGCATGTCGGGACCGGGAGGGCCGGCCGGCCCGGGGCGGGGGGGACTGGGCAGGAGGGGTCGGGCTCAGGGAACTGCAACTCCCAGCAGCCCCCAGGTACGGGGCGTGGCGGGAGAGCTGGGCGAGCCAGAGGCGACCGGAAGGATCTTTCTAGTCCAGCCCCTCGCTTTACCCGGACGAAAGACACGGGCCTGATTCGTCGAGTCTCACTGAGCCTTAGTCGTCGGCAGGTCCCAGGCGCGAAGTTTCTCGGCCTGGAGGAGGGGGTCGCGCGAAGTGCCAGATGCAGGCGGGGAAGGTCTGTGACGCGCACCCGGGTGGAGGGAAGCTGGTTAGACACCTGGAGACCCTGGGGGGCGGGGTCAGAAGTGAGCTGCACCGCCCGCCCAGGCCGACAACGACTCCCGGCATGCAGTGCTTTGCGCCGGGCACGCTCTGCGCCTGCGTGCTGCGCGCTGCCCGCTGGGGCTCGAAGTTCCGGGAGGGTTGGGCCAGAGGAGGCGGTCCTGGTAGGGAGTGCGTAGCAGGGTGGAGTCGCTGTCCGGTCGCGCTTCACTTCTGCTCCGCCCTCCCTGCTCCCCATAACAGACCCCTCCCTCCACTAAGGCTTCCAAACGTCGCCCCAAGCCTCCCAATTTCTCGCAGCCCTTCATGCTCTTCTCTTGGCCCTAGCAGGAGGTGACCTTCCAGTAATGTTTGTATTTTAAGAGTCCCCGGGCCGGGCGCGGTGGCTCACGCCTGTAATCCCAGCACTTTGGGAGGCCGAGGCGGGCGGATCACAAGGTCAGGAGATAGAGACCATCCTGGCTAACACGATGAAACCCTGTCTCTATTAAAATACAAAAAAATTAGCCAGGCGTGGTAGCGGGCGCCTGTAGTCCCAGCTACTCGGGAGGCTGAGGCAGGAGAATAGCGTGAACCCAGGAGGCGGAGCTTGCAGTGAGCCGAGATCGCGCCACTGCACTCCAGCCTGGGCGAAAGAGCGGGACTCCGGCTCAAAAAAAAAAAAAAAAGGCCCCGAGCGAGGAGAGGCAGTCATGACAATCACCTGGGGAGCTTCACGGCTTTCACATGTTCTTCCCGGGGCCTGCTCCAGAGCCACTCTGTTCATCTCTGGTGGAACGGGCTCGAGAATCTGCATGTTTTTATAAGCGGTCTAGATGGTTCTTAACGTGCCATGAAGTTTGAGAACCACTTTTGTGGCACTAAGGAAGGTGGCACGTTAGATGGGACTTTGCGTCACGTTAATAATGTATAGTCCTCCCTCTTCCAAATGGGATTTTAGGAGTCTTTTTCTCAAATCATGTGTAAGACATGGTTTAAAAATAAAATCTGCTAAAGTAATCAGAATGCATATTTGAATTGGAAACACAGGTCTTCTAGGAGTGCTGATGAGATGGATACTTGGGCTTAAAGTTTAGTTCTACAAGTGCAGAAAGGAACGGGGCATGGTTTACATAGTTATCACTGGTAAGAGAAGGCAGAAATTGCCTAAGAGATTTCAGGTTTCCTGCTTGTGGGTCGTGACGGAGGGCAGCAGCATTTACCATGCTTCTGGTCACTCGTAGTACAGATCCAAAGGTGTAATCCAAAGGCATTTAGCCATTAGGTAAGGCATTTCTTCAGGGATTCTAAGCTAATTAATGTCTGCCACACTCTAGTGGTCACCAGCAGTCCCTGTCCCTTGGCACCAGGAGTCCCTGTAGCCTGGCTAGGTAAGGAAAGGGAGTTGCATCTCCAAATAAGGAAGATCCAGTTGTGGCCACCCAATTCCTCCTCTTCGAAAGACACTTTCTGCCCATCACCTGCTTTCTGTGCCAGGACCATCTTTACTTTCTCCACAAAAGGTACCTTCAGGACAGGCTGGGACTGCTGGGCTTGGGAACCATCTTGGAAGGGCCTAGGTTCCCACTTACACCCTTGCCATCTAGCAGACTGAGTTGGTAGTACAGGGATGGCAATAGCAAGTTCAGAGAGCAGCTTAATATGCTAGGGGTGGCAGAGGGGAGAGGGAGCTTTGGTGAAATGTCTATAGTCAGAGGGGTAGTAAACAGGGCATCTGAGAAGTTCTTTCAAGTTCTCCCCTATCCATAGGGATACACATGTTTTGGTGGGAAGATTCATGAGTGCTAATCACTGGCGAGTCTTTCCTGGGTTCCACTTTGAAATGCTGGCTCCCGAAGAAGTACCAGAGAAATTAACTTTGAGCCCCTTAAACCTTGGAGTAGAGATCGCACACCCAGCTGCCCCCAAGGGCCCAAAGGTAACAAAAATGAGAAAAGTGGGCCAGATATGGGCCATGGCAGACCTGAGAGCGCATACGCTGGTTGATGGGGGCCATTAGTCTGTTCCCATCAATTGCTGCTATTTAGGAACCCAAATCTGTCTCCAGATTTTTTTAAAGAAAAAAAACAAACAGGTGTTGTATATAAAATATCATGATTTTTATTTTTATTTTATTTTATTATTTATTTATTTTGAGATGGAGTCTTGCTCTGTCCCCCAGGCTGGAGGGCAGTGACACGATCTTGGCTCACTGTATCCTCCGCCTCCTGGGTTCAAGCAATTCTCATACCTCAGCCTCCCAAGTAGGTGTGATTACAGATGCACACCACCACACCTGGCTAATTTTTGTTTAGCCATGTTGTTTCGCCATGTTGGCCAGGCTGGTCTCGAACTCCTGACCTCAGGTGATCTGCTGGCCTCAGCCTCCCAAAGTGCTGGGATTACAGGCATGACCCACCATACTAGAATGAAATGTCCTGATTTTTAAACATTGGCAACTACTTGAAACATTTTAAACTACTGTGTTGAGCAAACAGAAATTCTGAGGGCCAGATAGGGCCCCAGTGAGCTGCCAGCTTTTGACCTCACCTTTGGGGTGAGTGAGCATATCTGCCAGCTGTTTTTATGGGGACAGCCGAGAGCCCGGAGGACTGCTGGGAGGTGGGGTTGAAGGAGATATGTACCAAAGCGTCAAAAAATTAGAATTCCTTGTCTTGCTGCATTGCTAGAGGATGCCCTGCCATCATTTTAGGGCAACCTTTGTTTTACAAATGAGGGAGCCGAAGATTTAAAAAGGCAGAGGTTTGTCCAAGGTCATGCAGAGCTGGTTCCTGCACCAGGTCCAGACTCCAGATGCCAGCTCCCAGCCCGCTCCACCACTCAAAATACTGCATCAAAACCAGGCCACGCTCTGTTGGGGGGACACCAAACCTGGCCCCAGCAGGAGCGTAAGAAACTTCCTGCGAGTTGGAAAAAAATGCCTTTTTTTTTTTTTTTTTTTTGAGACGCAGTCTCGCTCTGGAGTGCAGTGGTGCGATCTCGGCCCACTGTGACCTCCACCTCTCAGGTTCAAGCTATTCTCTTACCTCAACCTCCTGAGTAGCTGAGATTACAGGCACCCACTACCACACCTGGCTGATTTTTTTTTGTATTTTCAGTAGAGACAGGGTTTCACCATGTTGGCCAGGCTGGTCTCAAACTCCTCACCTCAAATGATCCACCCACCTTGGCTCCCGAAGTGCTGGGATTACAGGCGTGAGCCACTGTGCCTGGCCAGAAATGCCCTTTCTGACCAGAGTCAAAGTTCCCCCAATGCCTGGGTAGCCCAGCTTCCCCATTGGCTCCTGAAATCCACCCCTTTAGGTTTCCTTTCCCTGCTCAGAAGCTGTGCCAGAGGGGACATTTCCTGGGAGGCTGAGGGTCACCACGATACCATGACAGAGTCTGGCAAGGTATGGAAGGCACTCTCAGGCTAGCTGCCCCTTTGGGGGCCTCTTGGACCTCAGGAGCTCAAACCAGCATAATTTTGGAGCCAAGGGACCTCATGAGCCTCTCAGAGAGCTTGGAGTCTGCCCTGATTTGCACAGATGCAGGCCTGAGAGAGGAGGCCTGGCAGGACAGGAAGAAATGGTTGACTCCTCCCAAGCTGGAGCCCACCCAGCATGGGTTAACACGCGCCTTCATCCTCTCTCTCCTCAGCCCATCCTCTATTCCTATTTCCGAAGCTCCTGCTCATGGAGAGTTCGAATTGGTAAGAGATGTGCCTCCTCCAGGATGAGTGCTGGAGTGGGGTGGACTGGGGCGGATAAGCCCGGGTGCAAAGCTGGCCTGGGATGGAAGGGTTGCTCTGTCAGAGAGGACCTCACCCCCAGCAACCAGCATCCCCCGGCTCCTAGAACCCCCATCCCTGCATGGCATCTCCACCCCGGAAACACAGGGTGAGGGTGGGAGGAAGGGGGTTGTTTTTTCCCTTGGGACTGACACTTCTCCCAACACTGCTCTCCAAAGCCCCTTGGCAACCATGTTTAAAGCAGGGTCACAAAATCCACATGCCCCTGGTAACTGGCAGGGGAACAGCTGGCCCTTCTCAGTTCTTATTTTATTTGAACTGGCAAAGCAAACAGAACGGGCCAGCATCAGCCTCGGAGGCTTCAGAAAAGCAGAAACAAGGGCCCTGTGGCTAGTCCTTGTTTGACCCTTCCCTCCCTTGGCTTAACACAGCCTTTGGCAAAGGTCATAACCAAAGCAGCCTGTACTGAGGAAAAGCTCTGTGCTGAGTGCTTTTGTGTGCCTGATTCCATTTAAACCTCAGCAACCCTAGGAGGGAGGTACTATTATTACTGTCCCCATTGTATAGAGGAGGAAGCTGAGGCACAAAAAACAGGCAACATTCAGTAACTTGCCCAAGATCTTTCAGTTACTAAGAGGCAGAACTGGAATTTGAACCAGGTAGTCTGGCTCCAGAGGCCCATTAAGTTACTTGCCCAGGGCCACACAGTTAGCAAATGACTGTGATGAAATTTGAACCCAAGAAGCTTGCCTCCAGAGTGTGGAGGCAAAGCCATCCTCCGTGACCCCTCCTCCATCCCATAGTCACTTGGTATTTGCTGGGATCAGTAAGCAAGAGCACTGGGTGCCAGGAGAAACTTTCCTCCAAGAAGATGAACCCATCCCTGGGCGCCAGTACCTCTGCCCTGGCTGAGCCAGAAGCCGGAGCAATATAGGTGCTGTCTGTACGGCCTGTGTGCTTTGGCCTTCCCTCCTCCAGGTGTCTCCTCCAGCCCCAAACACTGTCACTCCCCAGACTGGAGCTGACCAACACTAGGAGGAGCCTGGTATTGCCCAGGCTCTCCACACCATGACATGTCTGGTCCTCCTCCCCTCATTCCTTTGCCCTTCCCTGAGATTGGCCATCACCATACTTGAATGCCCAAGTGTGTGTAATACACACATGCATGCACACGCACGCAGTCTTCTCCACTAGTGTTGACCCACCCAAGTTTTTTTTACCCTCAGCTTGCCAGGGGAAATTATCAAAAGGGATGGAGAGGAAATCTGGTGACTGGAGTCACGGCAAATGCTCTGAGGCCACCAAAGAGCCTGATGCCTGTCTAGAATCTCTAGTAAACAGCCCTGAGAACAGAGAGAATAGATTGGAAGAGATTCTTCTCCAACAGAACAAGAGTGCCATCTGTCTGTGTGTGCTGTGTGTGGCCACCTGAGCTCCTTCCCTTGGCCCTTAGTTGCCTTCTTGAGGGAGTAATTGCATGTCTTCAACCAAGACACTGGTCACCACTGTTTAAGGCCCTGGGGGGGCAGAGTTAAACACAACACAGCCTTGCTGAACTCCAGGAGCCCACAGAGTGCCAGGGCATACACCTTTATCACCATCCAGGGGGCATGAGGGCCCCATTGGGGGGGTCCAGATCTTGAGGTCTCTAAGAGTTCAGGGGTGAGTGAGGCAGAGCATCGTGCATCTGGGGTAGGGAGCACGTGGTGACAAGGAAAGCTGAGAGAAGGGGATAGTGCCACGGTGAGCCTTGACCACCCAGAAGTGTTAGAGAAGCCTCCCCCTCTTTGGCCTTAATGTCACCTTAGAAGGGCTCTTTCCTTTAAGAGTACGGCGAGAGGCTGTTCTTTGACTCCGCTATGTGCGGTCTCTCCTAGCTCTGGCCTTGAAAGGCATCGACTACGAGACGGTGCCCATCAATCTCATAAAGGATGGGGGCCAACAGGTAAGAAGGCTGTGCCCAGACCACAATGTGGGAATTGGAGGCCTTGAACAGGCACCAGGCAGGGGAAAAAGGGGAGGCTCTGCCCCAGAGAAGTGAACCTGTGTCTTGTGGACTATCACTGCAGGAGGCTGCTGGCTCTCCCTTGTGGGACAAGGTGGCAAGGTGTGCAGTAGCAGGAGGCCTGGGAAGGGCCCAGGTCCAGACTGTGTACCCTAGCCTGGGCTCTCCAGTGCCTGACCCTGGGAGGGTGGGTGGCTAGTGGGTCCCCACCCCATACTGGGCCCTCTGGATGGCTGACTAGGGTAGGAGCTGCCTTGGTGGCCACGGTGTGAGATGCAGGGAAAGCCCATAGCCAGGCTGTTAGGATGAAGCCTATGGCTCAGCAGCAGCTGGGCTTTGGGAGACTGCATGGATCCCCCAGGGATTACCCTGGGCCTAGGATTTAGGGCCTTCCCAGGGAAGGGAGATGGGGGTGGGTGGCAGGCCTGGGGTTCTCCTGCTTGCTTGGCTTTCCTCTGGCCAACTCAGGCCAGGCCACCCAGCCCACCAGGGCCTTGTCTCCACAGTTTTCTAAGGACTTCCAGGCACTGAATCCTATGAAGCAGGTGCCAACCCTGAAGATTGATGGAATCACCATTCACCAGTCAGTGAGTGCAGGGCCTGGGGGAGGGCCCTCATGAGAGCAGTGCCCTGAATGAGAGCGCCTGACATCTCTTCCTCGCCTGTGTACAGTCAAGGTGCCTAGCACATAGGAGAGGCTCAATACAAGACTCGTGGGGAGGGTGCGAGGTTATTTAGGAAAATAAGGGAAGATTCAAGCACATGGAGAACCAAGTTCTGCATGATAAGGTCCAAAAAGGCTTATAGGGCTTGAGCTGAGCAGAAGCAGGGGGGAAGAGGTGTAGTGATGGTGCTGGAAGAGGAGAAGGAGGAGTTTGCTGGCCCTGTCCCCTCTGGTCCAGGGGTCCTGGGCCCTCTCCCTGCCTCACTGCTCCCCTCTGGACAGCTGGCCATCATTGAGTATCTAGAGGAGATGCGTCCCACTCCGCGACTTCTGCCTCAGGACCCAAAGAAGAGGGCCAGCGTGCGTATGATTTCTGACCTCATCGCTGGTGGCATCCAGCCCCTGCAGGTGTGGCACTTGTACACTTGCACCCTTGCACACCTGACACACTCTTACACTCACACATTGGCTGTGAGCTGCCCAGTGTGGGGGCGGGGGTGTCAAGGGAGGGAGGGGGATTCTCAGGGCCTCTGACCTGGACCATGTGAAAGAAGGGGGTGAAGATCGCAATCTCAGAATTCAGCCCCCCAGCGGGTCCCCCGCTGCGTTCCGAGAAGCTCTAGTTTCCAAGGACGCATGTACAGGTGCTTGGGGTGGGGAAAGGGCCAGAATGGCAGGGGAGAGACTGAGCAGGCCCCAGTCCAGGCCTCCTGCCTTTAACCAGAGCAGCTTCCGTTTCATCTGTGCTATCTCAGTCATATACTGGGATACTTGTAGGATTTTATTTTTTAAGTGTCACTGTTAAAACAGACAACTAAGTATTAAAAACAGTTCATCTGTGCCAGCTTCTACTCTGAATGAGGAAATAGCCCCAGAAAGGTGGAGTGACTTAGGAGTCCCACAGGTAGGTCATAACAAAGTGGGGACTAAGTCAGAATCCCTGCATGCCTATGCCCTCTACCCGCATGTCGCTTTAACAAAGGATGTTGGAGCAGACAGACATCTCCATTTTATAATGAGGAAACAGAGGGAAAATGGCTCCAGGGGTGCCAAGATGGAGCCAGGCTGGAAATCTCTGGAAGCCGGTCTTGTGGACCTCCCTCATCCCAGCCCCACCCTCTTTCACACTCCCTCTCCTCACAAGGGACCATGCAAGGGAGAAGTGAGGGAGACAGGCCTCGAGTTGTGGGCACACCTGCCACAGCCATGGCCGCGTCCTGTGTCACATGAATAGGGATTCTTGCACATCTCTGACAGAATCACGTGGCTTTTTGAGGCCACTGGGGCAGCCTGCAAAGGTGGCTGCTGGGATGGCTACCTCCCTCCAACCTCAGGGCCCTTGGTTGAAGGAAGGGGCTCATGGAGCCTGGGGGAGAAGGGATAGACATCCAGCCAGGGGCAGATGGGAAGTGAACTTCCCTGAGGGGGTTTGGCGAAGGGGTAGCCCCCACCCAGCTGTCAGCGCAATCACAGATTTTCTTTGGGCTGCACAGAACCTGTCTGTCCTGAAGCAAGTGGGAGAGGAGATGCAGCTGACCTGGGCCCAGAACGCCATCACTTGTGGCTTTAACGGTGAGTCCTCACCTCTGTGAGCTGCCCCACAGTGGCCTCTTAGAGGTATGGCCCTCGCACACAGGGGCCTGGGTATCTGAACCAGCCTCCCAGGCTGCTTTGGGCCTGACAGTTGCATGGATGAGGGCAGGACTGGGGAGGCAATGGGCTGGGTGGGCATCCAGACCTTAGCTCCAGCACTTCTGGGAACCTCGGTCCCTGAGCCCACAGCCCTTCATAGCTGGATGGCCCAACTTCAGCTTCACTGCCTACTCCAGCTGGGAAACCAAGGCCAGCACAGCGCCAGCCATCAGAGTGAGAGCTGTCACCGTGGCCAGTGGCAGGGCTTGTCCACTCGAGTGGGGAAATGGTGATTGTCTGTGCGGAGCCTCAGGAAACAGCAGCTCATCCCTAACAGCTCTCTCGAGACCTGGCTGCCACATTCTCACCAGCAGCCATGCCCAGTCTGTCACTCAGTTGGGCGCCCATTTCATAACTATGGAGGCCAAGGCCCAGAAAGCTTTGTGTCCCCTCCCTGCGCCCAGAATAAGATGTTTATGTGGCCTCCCCACAGCCCTGGAGCAGATCCTACAGAGCACAGCGGGCATATACTGTGTAGGAGACGAGGTAAGCTGTCCCCAGACCTCCCCAGGCCCAGCCACAGTGGCTGCCTCCCTCATGCTGACCTCCCTCAAGCTCAGAGCTTCCTGAGAAGGCGTCTGCAGGGGGATCTCTGTGCCATGGGGCACTCCTCAGCTCACTCCCACTAAACCGTCTTAAGAGGGAGTTACTCAAGGTAGAAGACTGGCTGTGAGAGGATGAGGCGGGCCAGCATCAGTTGAGGGATTGTGCTAGATGATGTCTGCGCAGTCAAGGCAATCCATCTTCTCTGGCCCTCTCAACCCACAGAGTTGGTTGTCAGGGCAACTGGAGCATGGCCTGGGAGGGCACTTCAGCTCCGGGGGACAGACTCATGCAGGCCTAGGGCAGACAAGAATTGGAGGTGGGATGGGTGAAAGAGCCGAAGCAGATTGTTGGTACCCCCAGTAGAGTCGCAGTGGACACACCCAGTCCAGCCACTGACTCTGGGGTATGCACCCTGATGGGAACCCACCGGGACCTCTTTCAGGTGACCATGGCTGATCTGTGCTTGGTGCCTCAGGTGGCAAATGCTGAAAGGTAAGAGAGAGCCCCGCCACCCTCCCTTCTCGTGGCTCTGCCCACAGTCAGGCCCCACTCAGCTGGCGAGATAGCATCTCATGCAGACGCTTCGCCAACCAGCCAAGGAGCCCACCATGCCAGGCCACATAGCCACTTCTGCCTGGAAGAGGGCAGAAGAAATTGGGGCAGTGCTCCTACTACGCCCACCACAGCCCAGATGAACCTGTATAGATAGCCCCAGCTCCTAAGAGGAGGTGGCTCACCTGGTGGACCCCCAAGAGCACCTGCCTGATGTCCTCAAATGTGGTGTGTCTGTGAGCAGTAGTGAGCTCTACCTCTGCATCCTTCCGTGAACCCTTTGGTAGGGCACAAATGAGCACCTCTCTGGAAGGCATCATGCTAGGCGTTAGGGATATGGAAACGTATGGCACATTCCCTGCCCCCAAGAAGCTTACAACATGGGGGAAGAGAGTCTGTATATATAAATGCCTAGCACTGGGCCTTACACATAGCAGGTTCACAAAGAAATAGGAACAGTAGGTAACAGATGCCAAATGATACTGCACAAGACCTACCCATCCCCTGTGAATAAGGGCTGCCCCATCGTCCTTCCCTGGACAGCTCCCTCGACCTCATCCAGCCCTGCCTCTCTGCTCCCCCTGCTGCATCAGGGCAGTCTCCCTGTGTCCCTGAAAACCTTAGCTTAGCAGGTGTTTCTCTACTACAGATTCAAGGTGGATCTCACCCCCTACCCTACCATCAGCTCCATCAACAAGAGGCTGCTGGTCTTGGAGGCCTTCCAGGTGTCTCACCCCTGCCGGCAGCCAGATACACCCACTGAGCTGAGGGCCTAGCTCCCAAATCCTGCCCCGTTGGCACAGGGCCACAGGAGCAGAAGCTGGGTGGGCTGAAGAGGCCTGGAAACGAGAGTCTTAATTGAGGAGATGGGAGACTCGAACTCTAGCCCTGGATCTGCCTTCCTGCTGAAACTTGTTCCACCTCAGTCCCCTCATCTGTCACACGCATGTGGGGTGGAGTAGGGAGATGCGGGGAGCAGGGTGGGCAGGAATACTGTTATCTATGTGACGGGGCAGTCGTGAGGCTGAGATGAGAATGCGGATTAAAATGCCTGGCGTGCTCACCGTAACACCACGGGGAAGGCTGTGTGCCTTTTCTCATCCGCTTTTGTTGTGTGTGACTCCAAAGAATGCCCGCGCTGAAATTTGGCGTGAATTAAACTGAAGCCCAGGCCTCTACCTTGTTTGTCTAAGACTGAGCTAGGTTCCAGAAGATGAACACTGTCCCTAGCTGGAATCCCCTGTGCCTGGACCAGTAGAGGAAGTCAGTCAGCCACTTGCCTACCCTGTGGCAGGCCTGGCCCATGGGACCTAAGGGCAATGATGAGAAATATACCCAAAAGCCTGCCTGAAAGAATCAGACAAGATCCAGGGAGATAACAGATAGAAGCAGGAAAGCATCTAGTGACTGGCTGAGTTCTCAGGGCTAGGAATGGTACCGTTGTTAAATGTTCCACTCCAGGCTGGGCGCAGTGGCTCATGCCTATAATCCCTGCACTTTGGGAGGCCGAGGCAGGTGGATCACTTGAGGTCAGGAGTTCAAGACCAGCCTGGCCAACATGGTGAAACCCCGACTCTACTAAAAATACAAAAATTAGCCGGGTGTAGTGGCAGGTGCCTGTAGTCCCAGCTGAGGTGGGAGAATGGCTTGAACCTGGGAGGTGGAGGTTGCAGTGAGCCGAGATTGCACCAGTGCACTCCAGCTTGGGAGATAGAGTGAGACTCCATCTAAAAAAAAAAAACATATTCCACTCCAGCACTGAGAGGCCATTTGGCCCTCTCAACCAGTCCCTCGTCTTCAGGGCCAGCATTCTCCAGACCAGTCCCAGGATTAGGCACTCGGGGTAAATCCAGTCACAGATGGTGCTGGGAATGGGAGGCAGGCTCCCCCGTGGGCAGTGTGAGCAGCTACTGACCAGGCCAGCTTAGGAGACCAAGCAGGTAGCAGTGTACCACAGGCTGCCCTGGAGGGAGCAAGTTCCCATGCTTGGCAGTGTTCAGGCAGAACCAGGACCACCTCTGGGCAGAGATGCCGTACAGAGATTGGGGTAGCTTCTGGGGATGAAATGAGATGACTTTTTAGGAGCTTTACCTCTTGAAGGCCCCACCTCTGAATACTGTTGTATTGGAGATTAAGTTTCAACATGAATTTTAGAGGGGACATAAACATTTAAATCGTAGCAAAGACCATCACCTTTTTACAGGACATTTTCCAGTAGGGGCTTCTCTCAAACGGATGAGTGGTAAGTCAAGTCCTTCCTTTCCATATCACACTCAGCAGACACCTGATCCTGATATGCTAGAGGCACAGGGAGACTAGATATGTACGTGGTCTTCCCAGAGTGGGAGTGGCCACAGTGAAGGAAGAACAATGATGGAGGGGCCTGATACTGGTAATTCCAACTCTATGGAAGTAACAAGTCCCCAGAAATACTTCAGGAGGAGGAAAGCAGTAGGGAGGTGCTATCAGGAAATACCTGAGAACAAAGCAAAAATTATAGGCTGTGTTCCTCAGAAATTTTACATATCCATTAAGGAAAGTGGCAAACTTACTGGATAAACAGGTGATACACATACTCATACTATTTTTTTTTATTTTTATTTATTTATTTTTTTTTTGTGATGGAGTCTTGCTCTGTCATGCCCAGGCTGGAGTGCAGTGGTAAGAGCTCAGGTTCATTGCAACTTTCCACCTCCTGGGTTCAAGTGATTCTCCTGCCTCAGCCTCCCGAGTACTGGGATTACAGGCGCGTTGGTTAAGCTGGTCTCGAACTCCTGACCTCAGGTGATCTGCCCACTTCGGCCTCCCAAAGTGCTGGGATTACAGGCGTGAGCCACCACGCCTGGCCAAGATACGGCTCCTCCTAACTTTTAGTGTTTTGTTTTTGTTTTTTTTTTTTTTTTTGGAGACAGAGTCTCACTCTCTCGCCAGGCTGGAGTGCAGTGGAGCGATCTCGGTTCACTGCAACCTCCGCCTCCCAGGTTCAAGGGATTCTCCTGCCTCAGCCTCCCAAGTAGCTGGGACTGCAGGCCCACGCCACCACACCCAGCTAATTTTTGTATTTTTAGTAGAGACAGGGTTTCACCATGTTGGCCAGAATGGTCTTGATCTCTTGACCTTGTGATCCACCTGCCTCGGTCTCCCAAAGTGCTGGGATTACAGGTGTGAGCCACCACGCCCGGCCTAGATATTTTATTTAAAAAAAATTTTTTTAGAGATGGAGTCTCACTGTGTTGCCCAGGCTGATCTTGATCCTCCCGCCTCAGCCTCCCAAGTAGCTGGGCCAGCTCTTACTTCTAAACATAACTTATTTAGCTCTTGCTTCCAAGGTCACAGCAATTCTACTTTCAGAGAATACTTTGAACTAAGGATAGCTGCTGAGTTTAAGCCAGAAGTGCACAGGTTAAAGAACATCAAGGCTGAATGTCAAGAGCTGTAATGTGTGAGCTGCCTTTTGTAATCCTGAGCTATGTCAAGGTCAATGATATGACACATATGAATGCTTTTAAAAGTTAAAAAATAATCTTAAGGCCAGGTGCGGTGGCTCACACCTGTAATCCTAGCACTTTGGGAGGCTGAGGCGGGTGGATTGCCTGAGCTCAGGAGTTCAAGACCAGCCTGGGTAACATGGTGAAACCCTGTCTCTACTAAAATACAAAAAATTAGCTGGGCGTGGTGGCATGTGCCTGTAATTCCAGCTACTCAGGAGGCTGAGACAGGAGAATTGCTTGAACCAGGGAGGCGGAGGTTGCAGTAAGCCGAGATCATGCCACTGCACTCCAGCCTGGCGACAAAGTGAGACTCCATCTCAAAAAATAATAATAATCTTAAATATATTATGTGTTCACAGTGACATATTACATCCAGCATACCCAAACATGAATCATTAATGATCTCCAGCTACATGGAATCTGCCTGGGCTTTTTGTTACTTGTAGGGTAGTTTGGTGATTACATTCAACTGAATTGTTTCAGATCCCTTCTCTTTCATGCTTCAACCTCTAAAATATGTTGCAACAGAAAGCAGAGAATGATCTAACAGGTTCATTTTAGCATCACAGATATCACTGAAGGAAATATTTAAATGCCACCCTTCCCTGCTCAGATGTGAGTCCTTATTCTGCAACAGACACTAGGGATGTGGAGAGGCAGTGTTTTAAAAGACAGCAAAGATATATTATGGTGTCACTTTTTGTAAATGAAAATAGGCTGAATTCATATCACCCAGATTACGTTAATGATTGGCCTGGTATCCGAAGTCGAGGTTCCAAATTTGAACAGAATATCTTCATGGGGAAACAGGCCTCACTGGGACCAAATGCTGACATAAAACTCAGAACTTATTAATCATCACTATAAACCCAGTTTTTCCATTCCCAGTTCCCAGGTCATGATACTCTGCCATGAATTTAAATGCAGATGAAAGATCTATTATTAATCTTATTCTCAATTTTTTTTCTTTTTAGTTCTTCTTAACTTTCACAATCTTAATAGATTATGAAATAATTCATATGGGCTTATAGAATACCTTTCTTAAGGAAGATACATGAAAGACAAAGAATTTAAAATGTAAATCAGGTTCATTAAAATATAACTCAGATGTTACCAGGTGCATAGTGAAAAAGTTTATTTATGACAGATTCGAAAACTCAGAAGAGATGACAAAGAATGCACAAAAGCATCACAAAACTGTTACCTAATATAAAACGCAAGAACTGAGCTACTTGAAGAAGCACAGCTCAGAATCATCAGTGTAATCGCAGTAACACACCCAGTGCCACAGGGTGATAAAAATGGTATTTTAAAAGAAAAACCACTCAGCAGGACACAAGAATTAAAGTAACAATTTGGTAAGACTCTTAGAAATCACAGATGTTGATAGCATTTCTCATGATAGGGGACATGTAAAACAAGCTGACCATAATAAATGATTAGTTGGGATACTTTTGTATTTTAAAGAAAAAAGATAAAACAGTGACACGGTTTCCCTTCCAGACCCTTTTTGTAATGTCAGCAACAGTACATGATATAGAACAGTAAGAAAATAATGTCTTTGTAGTTGCCAATTGCTTAAATCTTTACGAAGAAAACATGATCATCTTTCAGTCAACTGACTGATCTGAGTACATGGCACCAAAGAAAGCCCTTCAGAAAATAGAAGCTAAATGACATAAAGTAGTTTGGAAAATCTTCAAGCACCTCCCTTTATTCCAATTATCCTTTTCCAAAGTCTGGCTTTCTTATAATCCATCACTTTGATTACAAAACAGCTCTCTTCTGGGAATTTCAAAACACTTCCCGTTACGTTAAGGGAAAATGGGTACACCAGATTCATGGGTTACAGGATTGCTTTCTCTAGACTTGGCTTCTCTTTAACATGGCTAAATGGAAATAATTTAGCTTGGTTAAATGAAAGCTACTTCACTTACAGGATAATCTCAGGAGACATGAGTGGAGTTTTTCATATGGAATTTCTTAGTAAAATGTACTGTTTAGGATATGAGAGACGGAATTAAGATAATGTTTTCCAGATGATTCTTGGCCTGATCCTAAGAATCAACAATAACAATCAATAGCAAGGAACATTACACATTCAACCCTGAGTGATGAAGAGAGTTCAGGAAGAGAGCCCCTTAAACTCTGAATTAAGGGCTCTTTGGTAATATCATATACTATAATATTTCAAACCAAAACTTCAGAAGGGTTCATGATCCTATTTCAGGACTTTAGAAAATATACTTTGTCCTCTGGAAGCAATTTCACATATATTATTTTGCCCCCAGATAAGCCACAACTACCTGCTTAAATTTTTTTTTAAACTATGGAATTAAATAAACATGCATCTCTAGATTTCTAGGGCAACTTTTCATCATATCTTTGAAGAGTCATGACATTAACTCTGGTCCACATACCTGGGGCCTAAAAAAATCAGGTACATATAATAGGAATCACATCATGAGCCTAATTTCAAAGCCAGTGTCTTGCCTTTGGACTGTGTGTGTGAGGCATGCCTATTTGTAAATGAGCTCCACTATCATTGGTTTTAGGCAATAGTGTTTTCTTAGCTTAGAAATTTCTTACCTTAAGAATTCAAACAGGAGGGGCTTTGTTTAGCCTTCTTGGTTTAGGCAGGGACAATGCAACACTTGAGAGGCAGCAGTGATTTCTGAGCAAAATTCTAAGATATATTCGATAGGTTTGCTCTCCCCTCCCCCCATACTCCTACCCTTTGCCCCCTAATTTTATTTTGTTTTCCCTCGTTGTGATCAATTTTAAAAGACAGTTCTCAAGCAGCACAAAACGGTGTAACTTATGCCCCTCCCTTATGCTCCACTAAAACAAGTCTCTTATGTAAATATTAGGGTCACTCAATTCCACACCTTAGAACCACTGGGGTTAAAAGGCAACCTTCTGCAGATAAGTGGTCTTAACAAACAAATATAAAAGCAGACTTTAGAGTCTGGGTTTCAACTAATTCTCTCAAAGAGGGACTGAGCAGGACTCATAAACATAAACTCATATTCCCTACAGATTAAGACTTTTTATGATAATACCTAATTCTACTGCTTAATATAAGACAGCGTTCAGATTTCACTCTTCCATATACATATTATAATGGGACAATATACACTTTTTTAAAAGTCTGAGTTTTTCTTCCCAAAATAACAAAAATATTTTTTAAAGTGCATGTATCAATTCATTAAGAAAAAAATAACTAAGAATGGTCTAATTCCAAATTGCTACCTACTTCCATGATAAAGCTACCTGTTATCTAAGGATTGAGTTTTAATATCAGAGTCCTGAGGACATGTCATCAAGCAACAGAGGTTAGCATAAAGCCCTTCCGGAGCAGCTTCACAATCACTCTTGTACTGACATGCCAGTTAGTAAGGAAAACAGCAGAGATCATGGCCTGAGGGAAGGGGAAAATACAGCACAGATGTATTTTCTTGAAAGATGGAGACCAAGAAACAATTTTTTTTTTTTTGAGACGGAATCTTGCTCTGTTGCCCAGTCTGGAGTGCAGTGGCATGATCTCGGCTCGCTGCAACCTCTGCCTCCTGGGCTCAAGAAATTCTCCCTGCTTCTGCCTCCAGAGTAGCTGGGATTACAGATGCCCGCCACCACGCCCAGCTAATTTTTTGTATTTTTAGTAGCGACGGAGTTTCACTATGTTGGCCAGGCTGGTCTCGAACTCCTGGCCTAAGGTGGTCTGCCCACCTTGGCCTCCCAAAGTGCTGGGATTACAGGCGTGGGCCACGGCGCCTGGCCTCCAAGAAACATTTTTATGAAGACCACCTCCTGGGTAACCCATGTTGAATGAAACAGGTCTGCTAAAAATCAGGGGCTCTCCAACAGAGCCGATATGCAGGGGACATTCTCAGCATTCTCTAATTGGACACTTGTCAAAAGGAACAGAATGTTAGAATCATCTTTGCCTAGGAATTGGTAGTTTAAAATTTTTACATTTATGCGGGGAGTGTGTGTATACATATATATACAGCAAACCAAAAATAAATTCTAAATCCCCCAACCGGCTGAATGGACCCCTGTCTTGGCCCAGGGGATCTCAAAGGAACCTGAAAAACTAGTCCATGATGGGAAGACAGGGTGCCTCATATTATGGTCAGATTACAGGGTGCCTCATATTACCCTCTTCCCTTTGGAATTTAAATACAACTGACCAGCATTAACATTAAAACAGAGATCTTAAGACTAACCAAACAGACCCTTTGTGGCAATAAAATACCAAATCCCAACCTGACTCTGGTATAGCATCACATGACAGCAGGCCCCAAAGGAAATTTACCCCCCAATATATTTATTTGACGTATTTTGAAATGGCCCTACAAAGCTGTCTCTTGTGGGGGAAACTGCATTCTGTAGAGAATCTCCTTCTCTTATTAGGTCTTTTCTGGAGAGTCTGACACCTTTTAAGGCCTAAAAAGAAAAATTCATCATCTGTTCTCTCTGAAGCCTGCTACCTGGAGGCTTCATCTACATGACTTAAGCCAAGCCTCCCTTACTTTAACTTAAGCTGACTTCATCTTTTCAGGTAAAGTTTAACTCTCTCAACCAACTGCCAGTCAGGAACTCTTTGATCTACCTCTGACCTGGAAACCCCCATCTTCAAGATGTCCTGCCTTTCCAGGCCAAACCAGTGTATACCTTACATGTATTGATTTATGGCTTTGCCTGGACCTTCTGTCTCCCTCAAATGTATAAAACTGTAACCCGACTACCTCGGGCACATGTTCTAAGAACCTCCTGAGGCCCCATCATGGGCTCTGAACCTTGGCAAAATAAACCTCTAAATGTATTGAGACCTGTCTCAGATACTTTTTGGTTTACAATATATTTATATTTCTTTTAAGCTGTTTGCTGAAATTTTTTCACAATAAAACACTGGGGGAAAAGAAATCAATACTTTAAATATGTCTTCCTTTCTAAAAGGCCCATCTCTCAACAAAGTGGCAAAACTAAAACTAAAGAAATTTAAGAACTCAGTCACTATAGAGAATTCCAATCTCTCTCCTACTATGAAGCACTTTCTTTCAATTGTTTGT